>NC_000005.10:20610851-20913881 GCF_000001405.40 Homo sapiens
TCCCAAAGTGACAACTTGAAAGACTGCAAATGTTGCCCAGGTGGTTGATTATCAGAGAAGTTATTGAAATACAAGAAGTTAAGTATTCAGTGGGTGGTACCAGTAGGTCAAACACAATTCATCACACCCGATACAAATGCCCTTGGCTAGATCTGGTTGTATTTGTAACATTATCAAATGAATTACATATTGCAGTAAAAACAGATTGAAGGAGCTATTTCTCTGCTTTTGACCTTGACTCTCTGCTGACTTAAATATCATTTGGTGGGATTACTGTACTCTCTTCTTTATTTCAGATAAAAAATGTTGCCTCGTGAAATTTTCAATACATTTCTCAAAATTTTTCATAATCATCAAAAAATTATCAACCTTGAGGCGAATATGTGAGGGAGGTTTGGGAACAAAATGATGAGGTGAAAATTTGATGTAAATAGTTGTTCATTTTACTTTTACAGTTTTAACGGTGAAAAACTATTTTGGGTCATGGCTGTATGTTCATTAATTCATAAGAGGGGGTTATGCACACATCTTCATGAGAAAACATGGTATCAGTATCAGGAGATGTCCAGGCTGAATATTTAAATAATAAATCAAAAAAATTATTTCATAACTAGCCATTTTCAGAAATTATTCAACTCCTCTGTTTATAAGCCATAAAGAACCATTCTAGCAGTGATAGTCTTAATTCCATTCAAGTGTAAATGCTAATCAGTTTCCAGTTTGGTGGTTGTGGACTATGACAAGCAATTATGTTCTTGGGACCAGGGAGAGACCATTTTCTGCTTGTGGGGCTGAAACATGCAATTGGGGCAGCATGGCAAACAGAATTTTAAGATAAACCTCAGCATCCTGTCCCTGGCATATACACTACCTTTGAGTGTAAACGGGGACTGCGATTATGATGTGATAGTCATTCTCATCATTGTTACCTAAGACATTAGCCCCGGCAACCACAGAGAGATATTTTCCAGCTGGTTTTGAGGAAGTGAGCTGCCATGTACTAGGCCACGTGGCAAGGGCCTGGTTGGGGACCTCCAGGGGTTGAGAGCATCCTCTGGACAACATGGAAAAAGAAAATGAAAATGGTGACCTCAGCCCTATAGCTAGAAGGAATTGAATCCTGTCAACAACGATGTAAGTCTTAACGAAAACCCCAAGCTCTAGAAGAAAAGATAGCCCAGTTGACAGCTGAACTTTAACCTTGTGGGACCGTGAATGAAGGAGGAGCTAAAATGTGCTAGACGTCTGATGGATAGAAAGTGTGAGATAATAAATGTATGCTTTTTATAGCTGCAAGGTGTGATAATCTGTTACTCAACAGTATAAAACTAGTACATCTTACCTAGTAACTGGAAAACATAGGTTTATATGGAAAAAAAATTTTTCACAATGTTTTTATCTATTCAGTGACAGTTTAAGACTAGATATCTTCTCAGGTAAGTTGATAAATAAATGCATAATTCTATTAGAAAAAAAGGAAAGATTGTATTTGAAAGTCTCCCATCATAAATGTGTGTTAGCATAATATATAGCACAGCAAAATTATTTTTACGCATTTTAATACAATTTGTAAAGGCTCATTGACCAAAATATTTTAACTGGATGCTGCAATTAAAATAATTTGCAGATTTTGCTTGATTTACAGCTACACTAATGCAAGGTCATTAATTCTTGTAATTATGCTCATGCCATTCTTTATTGCAGGAGAGTATACATATAGCACGTGATTGTATGCAATTATTATTTAAACTACTATAAAGAACATTTCACCAATGAAATACTGATGTTTTATATTTCTCAAAGAATAGGGTAACAAAAATAGTTTGCAACATGAGATAAATCCAGAAGTTGTGAATATTAAATAGTTGTGGATTTAAATTTTGTTTTCTATGTTGCACTTTTTATATATAATGCTAGAAGGTACAGACATAGGTTTAATTAGTGATAATGTGTCTGGAATTGGTTCCTTCCAGTGGGTTCTCGGTCTCGCTGACTTCAAGAATGAAGCCGCAGACCCTCACGGTGAGCGTTACAGTTCGTAAAGATGTTGTGTCAGGAGTTTGTTCCTTCACATGTTCAGATGTGTCCGGGGTTTCTTCCTTCCGGTGGTTTCATGGTCTCCCCGACTTGACTTCAGGAGTGAAGCCGCAGACCTCTGCAGTGAGTGCTACAGCTCATAAAGGTAGCACAGGCCTGAAGAGTGAGCAGCAGCAAGATTTACTGTGAAAAGCAAAAGAATGAACCTTCCAAAGCTGGAAGGAGCCCCAAACAGGTTGCCGCGGCTGGCTCCCCTGGCCAGCTATTATTCCCTTATTTGGCCCCACCCACGTCCTGCTGATTGGTCCATTTTACAGACCGCTGATTGGTCCGTTTTTACAGAGTGCTGACTGGTGTGTTTACAAACCTTTAGCTAGACACAGAGCGCTGACTGGTGAGTTTTTACAGAGTGCTGATTGGTGCATTTACAAAGCTTTAGCTAGACACAGAGCACTGATTGGTGCATTTACAATCCTTTAGCCAGACAGAAAAGTTCTCCAAGTCCCCACGTGACCCAGAAGCCCAGCTGGCTTCGCCTCTCAATAACATTGTTAAATTTATAACCTCAACTAGAAAGGAGGATGAGCATAGTCCAGCTGAAGAAAGAGCTAAAATATCGATTTAGAACTAGTCTACATATTTTGAGAAAAAAACATTTCATTCAATTTGCTGTTTTATCTAATAACTAAGAGTGATGCTAATACATGCATGAAAATACTTCATTCTGAAATTATGAGCATTGTTTGAATAACTTATGAAAGGGGTTCCCCATTCCTCAGAAAGATTTCCAAAAAGGAAAGATATAACAATACTCAGGCAAGTACTTTTTTCATTCTGTAAAAATTTCATGCAAAGCAACATTTGTAACAGAAGTGTAAAGTGCTAATACAACATACCAAATACGTTTGTACACACTTTTTGTTTAATAAATATGCCATTCCTCAAAGCACGCTTCTAGCCATCCTCTTACTCACTATGTGTAAAATCTGTGCTGCTTTTTTTTTGTTTGTTTTTGAGATGTTTTCCCGCTTGTTACTCAGGCTGGAGTGTGTGGTGTGATCTCAGCTCACTACAACCTACACCTCCAGGTTCAAGTGATTCTTGTGCGTCAGCCTCCCGAGTAGCTGGGACTACAGGGGCCCGCCACCACACCTGGCTGATTTTTGTATTTTTAGTAGAGATGGGGTTTTGCCATTTGGCCAGGCTGCTGTGGAACTCCTGGCCTCAAGTGAACTTCCTGCCTTGGCCTCCCAAAGTTCTGTGATTAAATGCATGAGCCACCACACCCAGCCTGTGCTGCTTTTTTACAAAAAATAAATTTGCTATCTAAGGCTGTGTCCTTATGTAGTATCATGCTTACTTAAGCATATGCTTGAACTTAATATGAACGGGATAATAATACATTTTATACAAAAATTTTCCATCAAAGTTGGTAAAATAACAAGGAACAAAAGCAAGCGGGAATTAGGTAAAATATTTAGCAAATTTATGACTAAGGATCCTTTCCACGGTAGCATTCTGCCTGTCTTGGGGGCAATGAGGTCAGATCCTTGAAGCTCCACCTTTCTATTTTGGATAGAGTGGTGCTATTCAGTCAAAGTTTGCCTCTCTCTCTGCTTCATCTGCTTTCCATTTATTTACAATTGACCAACTGGGGGAAATATTATTTCTTTATCAAGGGCAATAAAGTAATTAGGTGACTGCCAAGCTTGTTTGGGTGGTGCATTTCTATTCTGCTTTGAAGATAACTATTCATGATTCAATCTTGGGTTTTAATTTTCAGCTTACCTTTTAAAATGCAACCATATTTTCAAGTTCATTGAAGTAAGCAAGAGGAAAGATCATTGCAATGTCACCATCCATATCACCTACAAATATGTTAAAACTTTTATTATTTCTCTATAAGTATTATCTATGTGTAGACAATTGGCCAAATAGTTACATTATATTGACAAAAAGTCATGATTCTTGTCCTTGAGACATAAAATAGAGTATGAATTAATAAAGTAGGGCCTCTGGGCCAAATCCAGCCCAGTGCTTGTTTTTATAAATAACGTTATTGGAACACATCCATGTTCAATCAGTGACACATTATCCATGGCTGTTTTTATGCTACCATGACAAGTTCAGTGGCTAGGACAGAGATCACATGGACTGCAAAGCCTAAAACATTTACTAACTGACCCTTTACAGAAAAAGTTTTCTGGCCGGGCGCGGTGGCTCACGCCTGTAATCCCAGCACTTTGGGTGGCCGAGGCGGGTGGATCACGAGGTCAGGGGACCCAGACCATCCTGGCTAACACGGTGAAACCCCGTCTCTACTAAAAATACAAAAAATTAGTTGGGCGTGGTGGTGGGCGCCTGTAGTCCCAGCTGCTCAAGAGGCTCAGGCAGGAGAATGGCATGAACCCGGGAGGTGGAGGTTGCAGTGAGCCGAGATCGCGCCACTGCACTCCAGCCTGGGCGACAGAGCAAGACTCTGTCTCAAAAAAAAAAAAAAGTTTTCTGACCCCTGATATAAAAGAAAAGAAGGGTCAAATCAAGAATCAAAATTCAAATGATCTAATGGAGTATTTATATTTCTGGGGGGTCTAACTTCTCCACACAACTATTATGATTCCCTAAATTACCTTCCAATAAACCACTGATACTTGAATTCCCATCTCAAGGTTGATTTTGGGTAAATCAAAACAAAGACAAGTGGTATTAGAAGTGGATTCCTAGAAGGCAGATTCTCATAATGGGTTTCCAGTACAGAATTGTCCTCTGGCTATTTATGGTGATAAGTGAAGGAGTGAGAACTCTTAGCGTAATAAAACATCCGAAGTTCTAAGACCCCCCACATGTTGTGAATTTGGTTGGAGTAAAGATCTAAGGGTCCATACTGGGCTATAAAAATAGTGTAGTACTTGAGCAGTACTGTAAAAATGGCAATTATAAATAATTATGAGTGTTGAGGAGGTAATATGAACACTCAAGTTCAAAGCAGTAAAATAAAAATTAAAAAAAAAAGACAGACTTAGGTAAGCCATCTATCAACTCGGAGAATGCTGATGCTTTGTTGAAAGAGAGCTTTGTCTTACAAATTAGGCACTTATAAAAGTAAGTAAATCTCAGACTTGAGGAATATACTGAAGCAGGAAATTCCCCTGACCCCTTGGTGGGTGGGAACTGCAGTGCAGGCACTGGAGCTAGCCAGCTGCTTCAGCATTGGCAGGGGCAAACTCCACTCACTGGAACCTGTGGGCGCTCAACCCTTCCCGGGAAGGGGCACGCAGGTGAGCGCTTTTGGGTGTCAGCTGGAACAAAACTCTGTGAGCCCCACGGAAGCATCTAGCGGGGAGTACCAATGACCTCCAAAGCCCTAGACAGCAAGTGTTACAGTGGGAGGCACCTGGTGGAAGGTAATTGAATCATACGGGCGGCTTTTTCCTGTGCTGTTCTCGTGATAGTGAGTAAGTATCACGAGATCTGACGGTTTTATAAAGCGTAGTTTTCCCTGTACAAGCTCTCGCCTGCCGCCATGTAAACGTTCTTTGCTCCTGCTTCGTCTTCTGCCGTGATTGTGAGGCCTCCCCAGCCATGTGGAACTGTGAGTCCAGTAAACCTCTTTTTCTTTATAAATTACCCAGTTTCAGATACGTCTTTATTAGCGGCGTGAGAATGGACTAATACACTAACTTTCTCAGTGAGCATCTTATTCCAGTTATAAAACTACCTCTGGTTCTGAAGATACAAAGATAGGATAATGCTAACTATTTCTTTGCATAAGGCAAGTGAAAAAATACAGATGACCTGATATCTTCTATCTGCCTACTCTCTCTACCTTTTGAAAGCTCTCTTTCTGTTGCTTTAATAGCATTGAATTGATACGCCATTATTGTGTCTATTCCTTTCACAATACCCTTAAATAAAGTCTTACTTTTAACTTTTTCCAGTGCCGTTTTTGTTTTGCTGAACCTTAGAAAAATTAATAGTTTACAGTAAATTAGGTGGAGATGCTAGAACATCTGAGGCAAAATATTGAGAATGGGTTTTAAAGGCTACATAAAAATATGCTGGCCGGGCGCGGTGGCTCACGCTTGTAATCCCAGCACTTTGGGAGGCCGAGGCGGGCGGATCACGAGGTCAGGAGATCGAGACCACAGTGAAACCCAGTCTCTACTAAAAATACAAAAAATTAGCCTGGCGTGGTGGTGGGCGCCTGTAGTCCCAGCTACTCGGAGAGGCTGAGGCAGGAGAATGGCGTGAACCCGGGAGGCGGAGCTTGCAGTGAGCCAGGATTGCACCACTGCACTCCAGCCTGGGTGACAGAGCGAGACTCCGTCTTAAAAAAAAAAAGAAAAAAAAAATGCTAAAATGGATTATGTAAGAACAGATAATCCACGATTTAACTATGTCCCCGCAGAGAACTTAGGAGAGATTCCCTTCACTAAAGTGGTGAGATATATGTCATGCCACTACCATCAAGATTTCAGATAAAACAGGAGAGGTAAATCTTCCCCAAAACCCAGTCTACTGCCATCAAAGGTGCAGAAAATATATATTGTCTATGAAATACAATTGATGTTCATCACATATAATCCTAATTTATTTTACCTTGCCTTTTGTGTATTCCAGTAGACTATTTAAATATTTCATAATGACAGAAGCTATGAATAAAAACAAAATTAATTTTATTTTTCATATTTATATTCCATTTATTTCTAAATAGGATATTGCAACTTAATATTATTTTTTAAAGATGCAAACACAAACATCATTAAATTGTTTAAAAAATTCAGAAAAAAATTAAAATACATGGAATGAAAAAGGCACCTATATGAGGGATAAAGATCCTACTTAAAATTAGTTGTGAGTATACTAGTGGACAACAAAAAAGAGATTGCAATTGGATATGTTGCTCCTGTTATCCAAAGTAGGAAGCCCATTCTTTCTGTGGATCAGTGTCTTAGTTTTCTATCACTGCTGTAGCAAATAGTCACAAATTTCATTGTTTGGAACAACACAAACATATTTTCTTAAAATTCTGTAGGCCAAAAGTCTTGGTAGGCTCAACTGCTTCCCCTTTTCCAAATCTCACAGGACTACAATCAAAGCATCGGTTAGCCTGGGCTCTTATTTCAAAGCTTTGAGAGAGAATCTTCTTCCAAAATCATTCGTGTTTCTGGCAAAATTCCTGTGCTATCCTGGCAGGCTATTGGCTGGGAGACCTAGCTGCTTTAGACCACCTGCATTCCTGATCGCTTCATCCTTTCATTCTTCAAATAAGCAATGTATGTTAAGTTCTTAAGCTTTAAGTCTCTCTAACATCTCTTTTGCCAGATTTCTTCTTCTCCAGCTGAAGATAGCTCTCAGCTTTTAAAGGTTCCTGTGACTAGATTGGACCCCCTCATAAATTTCAAATTAATCTTTTAATTTTAAGATCTTCAACCTTAATTACATCTGCAAAATTCCTCTGTTCAAGAAATATTATGTATTCAAAGGTTCCAGGAATTAGGGAGTAGATATCTTTAAGGGGAAATTCTGCCTTCCATGGGGAGAAACTTGGAATGTCAAGCTTTCCTAGTACCAAAATATTGCCAAACACACAAGCACAGCCTTTTCGAATATGACTTAAGTTGGGTCATAATAATAAATGTAATAATATTAAGCAATAATGTCCTTAATACCTCTGAAATTATTTAGGCATACTTCATTTCCTTTGGCAGTTGTAAATTCCCAAGCAATCTTGTTTCATAATAATAAAATGTTTTACCCAGACAAGGGTAGTGTAGTTGCTTCTAGAAGTAAATTGTCTCAAGATGTGTTGAAATTGTACTTTCTTTAGACAATGGTTCTGATATAATATTTTCTGACTTTTGATAGAGGCTAAAATTAGGTAGTTTTTTCTAAAAGTATTTAATTAGGGCTTTGGATACTGGTAGTTTTATATTGTGAATTGGGAGATTTGTTCACTTTGCAATTAGATAAACAGAAGATGAGTTTGAGCACCAATTGCATTTTTCTCTTCCTCTGTCAATAGAGTTTGTTAGGTAAAATCCCTCAAATATCAGGTGAACTCAAAAGAATGTCTTTTGTATTTAAACTGGTTGCATAGATTCATGTATATCAAGTGCTTGAAAATTAGCTAATATTTTCTTTAATATGATGAAGATGCCTCATTTTCATTCTTTCTAAATGTACTTCAGTTGCTGAGAGAATTTTAGTATGCTGAGTGATAGTTCTGGCCTTTTGGCAAATCAGGCATATCCTGAATGTAATGATAATCCCCACCCAGCAGGTATTTCTAACTGAATACAAACAAAATTAACTGTGTGAAAATGTTCATATAATTATGGTGTGACAGGATGTGAGATAAGACACTTTATTTTCCTTATTGTCAATAGGCAGATTGCAGACTAATTTAGTGATTTAAAAGACATAAACAACTAATTTTTTAGGCATAAAAAACCTAAATCAATGTTTGAGGCAACTAAATAACTAAATACTGTGAGGTAAACATTTTAAAATAAAATATTTTTATATTCTTATTTTCTTTTATGTACTATTAACAGGCTTGGAAATATTGTTTCCTCTTCTTAAATATACACAATAATACATATTTTGGTAGTTTATTCATCTTAAAAATAATGAAAGAATCCAGTATTTATTTTGAAGACATTGCATATGCATATACAGTTATATAAATATGTATTCTTTTTCAATATTTTCCGATACTCCAAGTCTCATGACTCATAGAATAAAATTGAAAATAAAAGCTGTTGACTAATATGATTTATTTCTGTTTGCAAATTTGTAAATAGGAAAGCCTCTCAAATGCTTATCAGCTCCAAGAATACATAAATACAGAATATCGAGCTCCTATTGCTGCATATTCCAACCCCCCACAAGCTGCCATCTGTTACTCATAGGTACAGCTTTCTAACATCAGGTCTCTATGAACTCGATGCTTATGTTTTACAAAATAAATGGTGGAAAGAAACCAAAAATGGTTAGAGTCTCATCTCTACCACTGTCAAATGGGCTTCATTTTTCCCTTTTCTCACAGCAAATAACAAAATATCCTCCAGAGAGTTGTGCTAAATGCTGCCTCTGGTCATATGTTGCTTGGTGTGTAGGGAGCAGCCGCAATGGAGCAACAACATTATTTGCAGATGTTATTTTGTGTTCTGAAGTGTTATTTTCTTATTAATTTATGCTAAGTCAAATTTGCACTGAAATACTAAAGTACTAAATACTGAATTTAGTATTTTGAAGAATATTGAGGAGTATAAGAAGGACATGTATCACAATTGCTTTTATTTATTAATAAAATAATAGTGTTTATCTTAGTTCTTATATATAACTTTTTTAAAGTAACATGGAAGCATGAGTAAAGTTAAAACTTTGAGTGACCATTTTCAGAAATAAAACTGTATTTAGGTACCTGGAAACCAAAATTTAGACTTAAAGTGAAAGATAGGATTTGGATTATCTAGTTTTGATGTGAAGAAAGCAAGCTGATCCAGGCTGCCATTTACTTGAACTACTCTTTGTAGGCCTCAGCCTCACGTTCAAAAGTGTTCCACACAGCTACTGGGTACAGTTGTCTCTATTTAACCATACATGAAGGAGGGTCATAAAAGCATGGGATTTAGTAAATCGGTATGCTGAGTCATATGTTGCAATAAACTGCATATAATAAATTAGTTGAAATATGCAATGCACAGGTGGGGATGTATATAATATACATAAAACTATGTAATATATACCTACATACATACATACGATATTACAGCAAAATTTGGAGCTATATTCCAATTGTTTTCCCCTTATACATTTGAGGAACTCTTTGGTCAGCATATGGCTCTCTCATAAGGTCTCCCTGCCTTTTTTTAATGTCCAACCCTCCTTTGCATTCCCACCTGGCCCAGAACGTGTGCTCATCCTGTACTTAAGTAATTATTGCATTCATTCAATCTTTATCCCAGAGCTTTTTTTTTAATTGTGCAGAGTTTTCACACTACCTACAATTTCTAGAATGTTCTGTCTACAAAGCATGAAGGATTCGTGTCTATTTATCTTGATCTAGCAGTTTCTTTTTCTATGGCACTGAATAAACTTATAAACATGCAGGATTTAAAAAATATGATTCAATTTTTCTAAAGATGGTGAAAGTGATATTTTCTTTAGAATTTTTTCCTGATGGATATTATGTATAAATCTCTCTGATTTCACATGGCAAAAATAAGGTTAAGTTAAAAATTACCTGAGAGAATCCTTGAATTTATGACTTCTGGGCTTAAGTTTTATTGTAACATCTCCACGTTTCAATATTTAACTATCTCTGGGCCACATAAAGCATGAGGACAGGTACTTTTGATATATTTGCTGTGTTGTGGGAGAAAAACAAATCTCACCATTTTCTTATAATTGCCCCAAAATTTTAGTTTAAGAAATACTTTTAATAAAAGTAGTCTCCTTCCCAGATTAGTAAATGTATTCTAACTAAAGGGTTTTGTGTGTGTGTGTATGTGTATATGTATACACCTATATATATTCATGTATATATATACATCTATATATATACACACACACCTTTAGTTAGTCTATGTGTGTGTGTGTATATATATATATATATATATATAAAAGTTATAGTCAATTGAACTCAACGAATCAAATGATTGAATGTGCCCTATCTGCCAGGTATTCGATAATATAATTGAGAGTGAATACAAGAAAAAATAAACTATACTTACTATCTCAGGAAGTCCATTTTAATTGGGAAGTAAAAATGTAGCCACATAAACATGTTACATATTGATAGGATACATTTTGGTGGTGTTTGCCAGGTGCTGCAGTTGTGGAATTAGCAGCCATTAATTTTATCCTAGGGGTTGAAGATACTGTTAGTGCTAGTTTTTGAAGAACAACTGGGGAATTTCCAGCTGAATTTGATAAGGACAATACAGGGAATAGAAATACTATTGTCAGAGAGCTTTACAATGCAAAGTTTCTGTGTTCCAGTAATGTGTCTGTACAAGAACAGAAAAACTATCGTGGATTCAAATTTGAAACTGTTTGTAAGCCTGAACAAATAATTTTAAGCAGAGGCATTCACAGTGTGATTTATTTTATAAAGAATATTTGGGATCTCAAATTGCAGAATGGATAGTTTATATTAGAAAAGTATTTTAACAGTTCAACGTAGGAATAATTGCAAATTGAACTAGGGTAGAAATTGTGGGGAGAAGATAGATATGTATGCACTTATATGTACAGATGTGCATACCTCCTTGTTTGGATGATGGGACCCAACACATGGGCACTTGCATAGACGAAAAGCAAATTCTATGTTACTTTCAACCCCAAAGGAGAGAAGACTGCCTGGCAGGGTACACAAGGTGGCCCACCCAGAGACAGAGTAACCTCAGGATGGAGCTGTAAGAGATAGGTAATGTATAGCAAGTGGGGAGAGATGAGTGAGGTTTGGTATCTGGCTCTGGGGAAATTCAGGGAAGTGTTTGTGACTGAGCATGTGAGAGCCTGATAAGGGAGCTGGTTGAGGTGGGCCTCTTCCAGCCAATTGGAGGTCTGAGTATAACAAAAAAGCAGAGTAAGAAGGAATTCCTCTGGCTGGACTGCCTTGAACTGCAATATAGGAATTCTCCAGCCTGCAGACTTGAATTGAAACGTTGGCTCTTTTGGGGTAGAGCTTTCTAGTCTTTAGATTAGAGCTTTTTGCATCAGCTCTTCTGGGTCTCCAGCTTGCTGACTGCCCATCTTGGGACTTCTCTGTCTGCATCTCTCTTATGTGTATACATAAGATTTGTTGTTAAATTTTACACACACACACACACACAATTGGAATCTGTTGGTTCTGTTTTTCTGAAGAATCCTATTACAGGTCCACATGGGGAAGTACTAGATTTCGGCAGAAGGAGAAGTAAGGAAAAAGTATAGATTCCTCAGGGATCTAGAACTAGAAATACCATTTGAACCAGCCATCCCATTACTGAGTATATACCCAAAGGACTATAAATCATGCTGCTATAAAGACACATGCACACGTATGTTTATTGCAGCACTATTCACAATAGCAGACTTGGAACCAAGTCAAATGTCCAACAATGATAGACTGGATTAAGAAAATGTGGCACATATACACCATGGAATACTAGGCAGCCTTAAAAAATGATGAGTTCATGTCCTTTGTAGGCACATGGATGAAATTGGAAATCATCATTCTCAGTAAACTATCGCAAGAACAAAAAACCAAACACCGCATATTCTCACTCATAGGTGGGAATTGAACAATGAGAACACATGGACACAGGAAGGGGAACATCACACTCTGGGGACTGTTGTGGGGTGGGGGGAGGGGGGAGGGATAGCTTTAGGAGATATACCTAATGCTAAATGACGAGTTAATGGGTGCAGCACACCAGCATGGCACATGTATACATATGTAAATACCCTGCACATTGTGCACATGTACCCGAAAACTTAAAGTATAAAAATAATAAAATAAAATAAAATAAAATAAAATAAATAATATTTAGGAAGAACCATTACTTAATAAAAGATAAACCATTTATTCAAATATTTTCTTTTATTTCTGAATCCATCACTGTGGGAAATCTGGAATTCTACATTTCACAAGACAATGAACTTTTGTTTGCCCTGGAGAAATATGTAACTTTTCACAGGCTTTTTCTATTTTAACATATATAGAGATAGTGTTTGGAAATTTAAGAACAAGAGTGGACCTAAGTATGAAAAATACGTACAACTTTTTCTTTAGTTACTCTTGATACTTTTCATTGTTCAGGTTTTATGTATAATAAAACCTTACTTTATTTCCTTTCTTTTTAGTTTTCTTCCTTTGTTTTGCTATTGCTATAGCACAGGATAAAGAACTTACAGAATATACATTGGTTATGCAATTTAATTAATTTTTAGGAGTTATGATTATTATAATCATCAAAGCCTTGGGCTCAAAATAAAAATAATGATTTTCATTTTTAAATATACTTTTATTTTAAGGAATCAGTGGCTATGATTAATTTAATAGCACTCCTTCAATTCTAATAATGTTTTGTTACAAAGCTTACATGTCATTTCTTTAAGCCAGCTCTTTTTATGTTATTAATGTTAGAACATTTTAAGTCAATGATTTCATTTGCTAATATTGGTTTATTTCTAACAGCATCCATCATTGTTTAACAGTCTGTTGGAGTGTTGCAAATTTATGAATTTTTATTATGAGGGCTCCTTTTGGCAACAGATAATTTTTTGTTAACTATCATCAAAAAAGATAGAGGCTTTCTTCTTTCAAGAACAATTTGTGTTTTGATAAAAACAATGTGTTATAATAGATTACATTTATTTTATATAATGTTATAACTATTAGGGATGAGGCTTTTATAGAGATTATTATAATAACTTTGCTAGTCATTGATTTTTATTCAGTAATATATGTTGTCTTGTGTGTTTGTGTGTGTGTATTCATTCCCATGGATACTTGTCCTATGGTTGTAAAAACATTAATGTCAAAATGCATGAGTTGAATTTAAGACATGGAGAGACTGCAATTGTAGTAGCAATTAATTTTGTTCACTATGTATTCAAATATGGTCACCTCACTGAATTCTGAAAATATAATAGAATTATCCTTCCTGATTCTGATGTAGGTGACTGCAGTCATAGGATTAGTTCTGAAAAATTATAAGTGCATAAAACATCTCACTTATAGGAAAGACATTTACTTAATAAGAAGAGCTTCAAGAACATTCTTTACTTACGCCACAATATCTGGCAGAATTTGTGATATAGTTAGTAAACAAGCCCAGATACCTAAATGACTACAGTGAGCACAGGAGCCACCTCCCATATACAAACTTACAACTGACATGTTCCTTGAGCAAGTAATAAACTTTTATTGTATCAAGACATTGTTATTTTATTTGGAGAATATTATAGAATAATCTCTGTTATCCTGATTTACATAACACAATTCACCTTTTTCATATGCATGTAAGAATACAGATCATTAACATGGTTATTTTCTATGAAAATTATAGTTCAAGTTTTAATCTGATACTTGAAATAACAGTATGCCTTTGCCCAACTAAATATAACTTGCTTTTTTATTGTCAGTGAGGATAATGATTTTTATCACTATATTTCTCAAAATACAAAGCAAGAAAGAATTCACCGAGTCTGTAATTAGTTCAGGAAATATGTTGAAGAAACATAAGGGGGCCAGGCGCAATGGCTCACACCTATAATCCCAGCACTTTGGGAAACTGTGACGGGTGGATCAATAGAGCTCAGGAGTTTGAGACTAGCCTGGGAAACATGGCAAAACCCCTGCTCTACAAAAAAATACAATAATAAAAGTTATAATAATCTGGGTGTGGTGGTCTGCACCTGTAAGTCCCAGCTATGTGGAAGGCTGAAGTGGGAGAATCCAGGCCCAGGAGGTTTAGGATGCAGTGAGCCGTATTCCTGACACTGCACTCCAGCCTAGGTGTCAGAGTGAGGCCCTGTCTCAAAACATAAAAAATAAAAAAATAAGGATTACATGAAATAGGATACTGTTATTATTAAATGTAACACAAAATAAATCCCGATGAGATTATAATATGCTGATATTGATAATAACAATTATAATACCAGCAAAATTATATTTATTAAATATTTAAAATGTGCCTGTCACTATACTAAGTGATTTGCATGTTGTATCCCATTTATTCTCATAGCAATCTTGTCATATAAGTAATATTATCTCAATTTTTTCAGAAAATAAAGCCAAACTAAGGTTTAGTGAGGTGTTTTGGGCTGAATTGTGTCACCCCAAAATTCAGAACCTCAGAATATAATGGTATTTAGAGATAAGGTCTTTCAAGAAATGATTATGTCAAAATGAGTCTGTTAGGGTAGGGTCTTAACCCATATGACTGGTGTCCTTATAAAAACAGGAGGAGACACCAGGGATGACACACACAGAGGAAAAGCCACGTGTGGACACAGTAAGAAGGCAGCCATCTGAAAACCAACAAGAAAGATCTTATGGGAAACCAGCCCTGCCTGCACCTTGATCTTGGATTTCTAATCTCCATAAATATGAGAAAAATATTTCTATCAAGTCACAGATCTGTGGCATTTTGTTATGGTAGTCATATGGCAGTTATATTATTATCTTTAACTATAATAAGATAGAGGTAAAGATAACTTACGTGAAGTAACAAAAATAGTAAGTGACAGAGACAGCATTTACATCAGGAGTGTTTAACATTAGTTTACACTTGTATCCCAAGCACACATTGCAGTTTGGATATTTCTTTGTGGTTGCAACCTTTTTTGCTTAGCCTTTTTGTTGCTTCTGTAACAGTTATTGTTCAACGATAAAATTGCCATAAGCCTATTTCACCATATTAGAATTTAGATCACAAATTCATTCCCAAACATCTGTTGAGAACACATTGGATGTCTGAATTAAAATGACTTAAGAAACACAGTTTTATGGTATGTGATCATCTGACTTAGTCTTCCAAACGGTTAAAAATTCCTTTAAAAAATGGGAACTGTGCAGCTCATAAATCAACACAACATAGGTGAGGAATTTCCAAAGGTGATTAAATTTTTATGCACATTTATATAATTTAGCACATTAGTATTCCTATGTCTGGGTAAAACTCTCCTGTGGGCTTTAAACTGCTTAGTTGGTATCATCAAATTAACGATGACCAAATTAGTACATATTAGCAGTTAGATTCTTATATTTAAGGTCAATGTCTTATTTCCTGTATAATGTTAACAAACTTACAATAATTTGTAAGTCTTTGCTTGCATAAAATGCCACTCATAGTAAAGAATATTCTATAGCTTAAATGATAATGAGAAATATTTTGGATTTATATTCCAATTTTATATTACCAAAGGCTAGATGGTATAGATTCCAGTTATGTCATCTATACATGGTGCATCATTATTAACTTAAAGTAGAGCTAAAGCAAAACAACAGTAACAGAGGCACTATTTATAACAGTGAAAACATGGCCAGGTATGGTGGTTTATGCCTGTAATCCCAGCACTTTGGGAGGCTGAGGCAGGCAGATCATGAGGTCAAGAAGTCGAGACCATCCTGGCCAACATGGTGAAACGCCGTCTCTACTAAAATTACAAAACTTAGCTGGGCATGGAGGCGTGTGCTTGTAGTCCCAGCTACTCAGGAGGCTGAGGCAGAAGAATTGCTTGAACCCAGGAGGTGGAGGTTGCATTGAGCTGAGATCGCACCACTATACTCTAGCCCGGCAATAGAGCAAGATTCTGTCTAAAAAAAAAGAAAAAAGAAAAAAAAAAAACAGTGAAAACATAACCTTCCCTTCATTACTGAAGATCTATCAAAACCAATTGTATATAATGCAAGCATCTATAGCAAAAGTTTACTTTTGTTTAGACATATCTAAACCAGTCTAATAAAAGTAGCAATGTTTTGTGATGGAGACAGATCACAAATTTAGATATTAGAAATTGTTGAGACTATTGGATAATTAATTAATTTAGGGACCCTAGCTATCTTATACATAAATTTTAATATGTATTATGATTTATCAGTCATTTAAAAATGTCTACTTTTTCAACTCAAGATAATTTGTGAGCAGCATCAGAAAGGAGGAAACTTCTTTGTCCTCTTCCTTTATAATAATTCCTTCCATTTGGTTTTCTACCTGTATTTACAAAACATTTATAAATCATCCATTGCTTCTTAATGGCTTACAGAAGCAATGATGAAACTGTGACAGGATAAAATTAACAAGATTTTCTCATAATATAAAACTAAGCTCCATTGTGTGCTAGATGGTTTTTGTCTCAACGTTGTGATTTAACATAAATTTTAAACACAGAACACTATTTCAAGAATTCTTCTCTCATTCTGTAAACAAATTTGAAGAGGAATGTATTAGTCCGTTCTCATGCTGCTAATAAAGACATACCTGAGACTGAGTAATTTATTAAAAAAAAAGATGTAATGGACTTATAGTTCCCCATGGCTGGGAAGGCCTTACAATTATGGCAGAAGGTGAAGGAGGAGCAGAGGCATGTCTTACATGGCTGCAGGCAAGAGAGTGTTGGCGGGGGAAACTGCCCTTTATAAAACCATCAGATCTCATGAGACTTACTCATTTTTATGAGAACAGCATGGGAAAACCTGCCCCCATGATTCAATTACATCCCACCAGGTCCCTTCTATGATACAAGGGGATTATGGCAGCTACAATCAAGATGACATTTGGGTGATGTCACAGCCAAACCATACCATTGTCCTTACATTTCAAAACACAATCATGCCTTCTCAACAGTCCCCGAAAGTCTCAACTCATTCCAGCATTAACTCAAAATTCCCAGTCCAAAATCTCATCTGAGACAAGGCAAGTCCCTTCTGCCTGTAAAATCAAAAGCAAGTTAGTTACTTCCTAGATACAATGGGGGTACAAGCACTGGGTAAATATACACATTTCAAATTGGAGAAATCAGTCAAAACCAAAGGGGCTATAGGCCCAATGCAAGTCTGAAATCCAATAGGGCAGTCACTAAACCTTAAACTTCCAAAACGATCCCCTTTGACTCCATGTCTCACATTCAGGTCATGCTGATGCAAGAGGTAGTTTCCTATAGTCTTGAGCAGCTCTGCCTTTGTGGCTTTGCATGGTACAGGACCCCTCCTGGTTGCCTTCACGGGCTGGCGTTGTGTCTGCAGCACTTCCTGGCACATGGTGCAAGCTGCTGTTGGATCTACCATTCTGGGGTCTGGAATATGGTGGCCTTCTTCTTACTGCTCCACCAGGCAGTGCCCCAGCGGGGATCCAACCTCACATTTCCCTTCCACACTGCCCTAGCAGAGGTTCTCCATGAGGGCTCTGCCCCTGTAGCAGACTTCTGCCTGGGCATCCAGGTGTTCCCATACATCTTCTGAAATCTAGGCAGAGGTTCTCAAACCTCAATTCTTGACTTCTGTCCATCTACAGGCTCAACACCACGTGGAAGCTGCCAAGGCATGGGGCTTGCACCCTCTGAAACAATGGCCTGAGCTGTATGTTGCCCACTTTTTGTCATGGCTGGAGCATGTAGGTCACAGGACACCAAGTCCCAAGACTGCATACATCAGGGAACCCCTGAACCTGGCCCAGGAAACTATTTTTCCCTCTTAGACCTCTGGACCTGTGATGGAAGGGGCTGCCTCAAATGTCTCTGACATGCTCTGGAGACATTTTCTCCATGGTCTTGGTGATTAACATTTGGCTCCTCATTCATTATGCAAATTTCTGCAGCCAGCTTGAATTTCTCCTCAAAAAATGTGGTTTTCTTTTCTCTCATATCATCAGGCCATAGAGTTTTCAAAGTTTTATGCTCTGCTTCTTGTTGAATGCTTTGCCAATTAGAAATTTCTTCCAGCAGATACTAAATCATCTCTCTCAAGTTCAAAGTTCCACAGATCTCTAGGGCAGGGGCAAAATGCCACCAGTCTCTTTGCATAGCAAAAGTGACCTTTACTCCAGTTTCCAACAAGTTCCTCATCTCCATCTGAGACCACTTCAGCCTGGACTTTATTGTCCATATCACTATCAGCCTTTTGGTCAAAGCCATTAAACGAGTCTCTAGGAAGTTCCAAACTTTCCCACATTTTTCTACCTTCTTTGGAGCCCTCCAAATGGTTCCAGCCTCCACCTGTTACCCAGTTCCAAAGTCACTTCCATATTCTTGAGTATCTTTACAGCAGTGCTGCATTCTCTGTGCAACCAATTGACTATATTAGTCTATTCTCATGCTTCTAATAAAGACATACCTGAGACTGGGTGATTTATTGGAAAAAAAAAAAGGTTTAATGGACTCACAGTTCCACATAGCTAGAGAGGCCTCACAATCATGGTGGAAGGTGAAGGAAGAGCAAAGACATGTCTTACGTAGCAGAAGGCAAGAGAGCGTGTGCAGGGAAACTGCCCTTTATAAAACCCATCAGTTCTCATGAGATTTATTCACTATCATGAGAAAAGCATGGAAAAATCCCACCCATGATTCAATTACCTCCCATCAGATCTCTCCCATGACACATGGGGATTATGGATAGCTACAATTCAAGATGAGATTTGGGTAGGGTCACAGTCAAACCTTATCAAGGAATTGAATACAAAGAGATAATATACTAGTTATCATACTTTTGTGTGTTTACATAGGCAATATGAATATTTTCTGTTTATCTTTTGCATTTAGGTGCTTATCTTTGATTTTTTTTACCAGTTTCTTAAAATTACATAAGTAATCCACAAAAATCATCTCCAGTTTATAAAAAAGATTCAAATTGGTTGACATAGAAATGTGTGTTTTCAAAGGCCAGTTCACCTTCTTTTTTTCGTCTGTAACACTCTCTTATCCCTAAATAAATTATATTGTAAGTTGTTGGTATACCTACATGGATCTCAAATGTGGACAATTTTTACCCCAGAATAATATTTGGCAATGTATAGAGACATTTTTGATTGCCTTATCTAAATAGAGGGAGTGAAGAAAACCTCTAGTGTGTATTAGCCAGAGATAATGCTCAATCATTCAGTCCTCAGGACAGCCCCATCACAAAGAATTATTAGTCCATATGCTGGTATATATCATGCCAGTCTTTCTCTGGATCAACTGCATTTACACATATGCACATGGATGTTTTGTTGACTGTAGTATGTCAAAATTTAAAGACATATCAGGCACACAGTAGATAAAACTCTTCAAGCTATATCCATATGAATGAAGGTCAATCATTCATATTGATAGAATTAATAAATTTGTTGACTAATAAAGCTCTTTAAATACATGTTATTTTAGATAAAAATTAAGAGCTTCTCAATTTTGTAAAATAGTCATCTTAGTGTTTTAGTTTTTGAATTATTAAAAAAAACACTGTTGAATTTTTTTTTAATAATAAAGCTCAGCTTTGCTACTACTTCTGGACTAGTCTATTTGCCAATTCTGAGATTTCTCAAATTTATGAGTCACATTAGATAATGTCTGCTCTTTCAATTGTTCTAATTTGTTTTATTATCTGATCCAAATGCCTGAATCTCAATGGATTTATCATTAACTCTTTCTAACTCAGAAACTCTTGTGAGAGAGATGACAGACATATCACAAGATTATTGTGCTGCACTGAACAAGGGCATGATACATGGTAAATAAATGAATGAAAAGAGAAGGAGAAGAGAGCTATTTTGGGGTCTCATTTATACTCCACTTATATCATCTTTGATTTCTAATAATAAACTGATGAAACATATTTTAAGTAATTTATAAATGTAAAATTCGTTTTTTATTTTACAATTTTAGCTACAGCACAGTAACTGTTATAATAGTTAAAACTTTTTTTCACATTAGAACCTTACTTTTTTAACAGTGAAAAGAATTATAATTATGTCTTTACATTTCTATCAGTATTTCATTGCAATATGTCCTGAATTTGACAGATGAACAATTATCTCTTTTTTTATTAATGGACTTTGCAGGAAACAAATTAAGGCCATTTGAGTAATTACAATAACTTGATACATTTCTAATTTGCTATAGAATGTAACTCATGACTTGTATCTGAAAAAAAAGGAAGGAAGATAGAGAGACAAAAGATAGGAAGGGAGGGAAGAAGGAAACAAGGAAGGGAGGAAGGAAGGAAGGGAGGGAGGGAGGAAAGAACGAAGGAAGGAAAGAGAAGAAGGAAGGAGGGAGGGAGGGAAATAATCTAATGAGAAATGGGAAACAATAGTATCATTAATTTTTTTAAATTATACTTTATCTGGTACATGTGTAGAACGTGCGGGCTTGTTACATAGGTAAACACGTACCATGGTGGTTTGCTGCACCCATCAACCCGTCATCTACATTAGGTATTTCTCCTAATGCTATCACTCCCCCAGTCCCCCACCCCCCAACAGGCCCCGGTGTCTGATGCCTGCCTCCCCGTGTCCATGTGTTCTCATTGTTCAGCTCCCATTTATGAGTGAGAACATGCGGTGTTTGGTTTTCTGTTCTTGTGTTAGTTTGCTGAAAATGACTGGTAATGTTTAATAAGATGGGAGAGATGGATGTTACCTATTAAGATGCATATTGTTTTCCTCAAGGAATATTACCTTTTGAGCATTTTGCACTGTGGTCCAAAAATGGCTCAAATTCATCTGTTTCTTGCTGAATCCCAGCTTTGCATGTGTGTCACTAAATCCACAAGGCAGCGATTCAGTGCTAATGAACTCTTCTGGTGGTTACTAACTGCTCTATAAGCATTGTAGGTAGACCATAAATAAAATTTTACCAGTCAGTTATGAAAGGAGAAAAATGAGAACAAAATAGGGAGTTTTCAATGAAGCTAATGTTAAAAGGAGTGATCTTTATCTGCTCATATACATTTGCAGTTTTACAATATTAAAATAGCTGTGTATCATTGATATTTTATTATTTTGCTGTCCTTACTTTTCAAAACAATATATTGTAAACCTGTACTAGTTCTTACAAGTCTCTTGAAAAATTACGGTTTGTGATACTGTATTTAATAGTCTATCAGGCCATGGTTTGCATTAATAAAATATGCCGGGGACCCAGGGACACTACACTGCACCTCCTTTTTGTCTCAATTACATACCATGGTTAAGTCTTATTGCATTTTTATAAGTTTATTTAACAATTTAAGTTCGAAAGATATTACACAATTTCATAGTGCTCAATTTTAATACATTTCAAATGAAAGCAAAAAGGAAAAAATGAATCCCATTAGAATTTTATTCTGTTCATATATGCATACTCACAATATAATTAATATTCTGAGCATTATTCATTAACTAGGTGGCCAGTATATTATGGATTCAGATTTCATTTAAACTTTGAGGAGAAAAGAAAGTAACTTTATAAATAATAGCATTAAATAATGTTCATAGGAAATATAACTTTATTGAAGTATTCATAAAATATAAATTGGACCTCTCTAAGACGTTTATTTCCTGTATAACTCTTACTACACTAATTTCTTACTTTCCTGTTGATTTTTTAAGCTATAGTTAAAATACATAGGGAAGGGCTTCAAGATGGCTGACTAAAGGCACCTAGCACTCGCCTCCTCTGGAAAAAAGGACCAAAACAGTGAGTAGATAATAATAAGTCAAATAGTAGATAATAACAAGTCAAATAGAGAGTATAACACAGAACAGTAAAATTCAGCAGGGAAGTGTCAGGGAACCTCTTAGGCAGAGAAGTAAAAGGAAGTGAAGCATCCTCCCAGGCTGGGACCAGCTGTGAACCAGGAGAAACCTTCCAGTGCAGAAAATATGTAAGTGACAGATCCCAGTAGTTCACATTCCCACTGCAGACTACTGTGGTACTAGCCACAGAGATAGCCTCAGCCATCATGGTCTCTGGGACCAGGTTAGGGAACTGCCACACTCCCTAGGGAGAGTCCACACAATAACATGGTTCGAGAGAATGAATTTGTACTGGGCCCCGCACACTTCCCTGAGACACAAACGACTGCAGCCTGGTGCCATTTAGAGAGCCCAGCCCCAACCAGACTACATCCTGCCCTGGGACCCAAAGGGCCCCTGTGTCTCCACATCCCTGGATCCTCATTGACATCTCCGTATGTCTACCCAGAAAACTGTAGCATCACTGCACTGGGTGGACCAGCGGTGCAGATGAATCTCCAGCAGTCTAGCCCATGCAGTTTCGTATAGCCAAGGGAATTTGTGGTGAAACTCAGTAAGAAGACTGTCCCTGGGACAAAGGGAGCTGAAGCACATGCCTCCCAGAGCCTGAGGGCAGTGTGCACAGGAATACTGCCCCTGACAGCAACCCTGCCCCCTCCCAGCAGTAGGGCTGCCACATATCTGTACAAGCTTTCAGGGGGCCTAGGGACCTGAAGCTCAGGTACTTTCCGTGGACCTAAGAGCAGACCTGTCCCACCCACCATTGCTCCCACTGAATCTCACCATCTGGGGGCCTGGAAATCAATACCTCTTGCCAGCCACAGCTGGTGCTTGCCTGCATCATCAGTGAGCCTGAGGACAGGCCCCCTCTGACCAGTGCTGTCCCTACCAGTGCCCACAAGTGTCGTCTAGGAGCCAGGAGATTGACTTACCCCACGTACCACAGACTGTACCAACATATACCATTGGTGGCCTAAGGCCCAGGCCTTTTCACCACTGCGGATGTGAGGCCTAGATATCAGCCTTCCCTGCCTATCACTGCTGATGCACAAAGGTGCACCATCAGGAGACCTGGAAACAGATCCAGCCTGCCCGCTGTCAGCACCTGAGAACACTGGTAAGGGACAAGAGAATTTACATGTCCTGCCTACCACCACTTGCATCCTGATAAACTATCATGGGGATGCAGAAAAAGACCACTCCTTTTGATACCTTTCTTGCCAGTGCCTGTGTGCATTATCTGGGAGCTTGGGGTTGATCTGACTCCCCCGACTTCCATTAGTTCCCATGCATGCCTTCTGGAGGCCAGTGGATTGCTCCACCCAGTCTGCTCATGCCTACACACACGAGCCACGGGGCTGGGGATTGACAAAAACATCTTCCACAGTCTGTGTGCACGGTAAGGGGCCTGAGGACAGGCCCAGCTCACCTGGTGCCACCCCTGCCAGTACCGGCATGTGTCTTCTATGGTCCTAGAGGTCGACCTGTCCACCACCACTGTCATCTGTGCACCCCTAACGAGAGCCTGGGGATGGACCCGCCAAGCTTGCTGCCACCACTGCTGCTGGCATGTTTCCCAACAAGCACTACCTGGAAGCCTGAGGATTGGCACACCACTGTTATTTTGATCACAGATGCTGTATAAGCTGCCTAGAGCTTGTCCAGTCTACTGGTGCCTAGAGGATCTCTCCAGCCTACTGGTGCCAATGCAAACGCTTAAGAAAGCCACCTGGAGGCCCTCAAAATGGTCTATCTCTAGCTGCTACCACCAGTACCCATGTATACTGCATACACAAGGGCTAACATGCTCAGCCCACTGCTGCCACCACTGGGGCCTGAGGACTGGCCCAGCTTGTGTTGCCATCCTTAGCAATGTTCCACCACAGTCTCCACTAACAACTGCAGCTGAAGCCACTGAATAACTCACAGGAACCACTGATAGTGATTACAGTTAAAGAAATCATACAGAGACTGCACTACTGCATGCACTGAAAATCAAAGCCAAAGCATCGTATTCAATCAACGTAATAGATACATCTGTAGAAAGTCTTTCCCTATGAAAGCCATTCCATAAATTGGAACAAGCAACTGTTACATCGATGCAGATTTCAATGTAAGGACACAAGAAATAAGAAAAAGCAAGGAGACATGACACCTCCAAAGGAAAAAAAGAGTATCTATCTATTCAGCAACAGATTTCAACAAAAAGGAAGTCTATGAAATCCTTAAATAATAATTCAGAATAATAACATTAAAATAACTCAGTGAGATACAAGAGCACACAGATAAAAAATACAAAGAAATCAGAAAAAATTCATAATCTGAATAGGAAATTAAACAAATAGATGTATATCATATAAAAGCAAACAGATATTCTGAACTTGAACAATTACATAAATAAAAATACAAAAAGAGCTTCAATAAGACTAAATCAAGCAGAAGAAAAATTGTTGAACTTGAAAACAGGTATTTTGAAATAATCTAGTCAGATCAAAAAAAAAAAAGAATAAAAAATAATGAAGAAAGCCTACAGGACATATGAGACTCCACAGAGAGAACAAGTGTTTGAGTTTGGGCATTCCAGAGAAAGAAGAAACAAAGTCATAGAAACCTACTTAATGAAATAATAGCCAAAAACTTCCCAAGTCTTGCAAGAAATAAAAGCATCCAAATGCAGAAATTTCAAATAATTCCCAAATAGAATCAACCCAAAAATGTCTTCTCCAATACACATTATAGTCAAACCATCAAAAGTCAAAACAGAATTTTAAAAACAGGAACAGAAAAGCACTAAGTCACATTTAAGTGAACCCCCATCAGACTTACAGGGTTTTTCTAACAGAAACCTTACAAGCCAGCAAAGAATGGGATGATACACTCAAAGTCCTGAAAGGAAAAAAAAATCAGCCAAGAAGCAAAGAACACTATATTAGAAAGCTATTCTTTAAAAATGAAGAAAAACTCCTTTCCAGACAAGCACAAACTGAGAGAATTTGTCACAAGACTGATCCTACAAGAAGGGAGTCTTGGTCCTTCGTAAGTGAATTCTACATCTAGATGTGAGGGCCAGTATTTGCCATCATGAAATCACATGAAGTATAATACTCACTTACAGAGCACACACACAGATACAGAAATTTAAGAAAAAAATGGGCTTAAATATTACTATTACAGAAAACCATCAAATTGCAATAAAAAACAAAGTGAAAGAAAGGAACAAAAGATACACAAAATAATCAGAGAATAATTAACAAATTGACAGGAATAACTTTTTACATATCAATAATAAGCTGGAATGTAAATGGATTCAGTTACCCCCTAAAAAGATATAGATTGTCTGAATGGATTAAGAAAAACATGACCCAACCATATGCTGTCCAGAAGAAACTCATCTCATCTATGAAGACAAATAAAATGAAAGTGAAAGGACGGAAAAAGATATTCCATGCAAATGAAAACCAAAATTTAGCAGGAGTAGCTATATTTATACCAATAAAAATGACTTTAGGTCAGAAAGAGTTAAAAGAGATGAAAAAGGTCATTATATAATAATAGAGGTATCAATTCAGCAAGACTATAACAATTGTAAATGTGTAGGCACCCAACACTACAACATCCAGATAGATACAACAAATATTATTAAATCTAAAGGCAGAGATAGACTCCAATACAATAATAGTTGAGGACTTCAACACTCCACTCACATAATGTGTCAAATGCTGTGGGTGGAGTGTTGGAGTTTGAACTGAATTTTAGACTAAGTGAACCTAACATTTACAGAATATTTTATCCAACAGTCACAGAATACACATTCTTCTCAGGAGCATATGCAGCATTCTAGCAGGGTAACTCATATGTTAGGCTACAAAACAAGTCTCAACAAATTTTAAAAAATCAAATTTTTTTCAAATATTTTCTCAGACTACGGTGCAACAAAACTAGATATCAATAGTAAGAGGAACTTTGAAAGCAATACAAATACATAGAAATTAACCAACAGGATCCTGAATGACCACTGGGTCAATGATGAAATTAAAAAGAAAATAATTCCAGAAACAAATAGAGAAAAAACACAACATATATACCTCTGGGATCCAACAAAACTAGTGCTAAGAGGGAAGTTTATAATAATGAATGCCTACATAAAAAATACAAATATGTCAAATAGACAATCTAACAATGCACCTCAAGGAATTAAGAAAGCAAGGAATTAGAAAACCAAATCCGGCCGGGCGCGGTGGCTCACGCCTGTAATCCCAGCACTTTGGGAGGCCGAGGCGGGCGGATCACGAGGTCAGGAGATCCAGACCATCCTGGCTAAAACTGTGAAACCCTGTCTCTACTAAAAATACAAAAAATTAGCTGGGCGTGGTGGCGGGCGTCTGTAGTCCCAGCTACTCGGGAGGCTGAGGCAGGAGAATGGCGTGAACCCGGGAGGCGGAGCTTGCAGTGAGCTGAGATTGCGCCACTGCACTCCAGCCTGGGCGACAGAGCGAGACTCCGTCTCAAAAAAAAAAAAAAGAAAACCAAATCCAACATTAGTAGAATGAAAGTAATAACACATATCAGAGCAAAACTATACAAAATGGAGACTAAACACCAACAAAAATACACTGCAACCTCTGTCTCCTTGGTTCAAGCAATTCTCCTGCCTCAGCCTCTTGAGTAGCTGGGATTACAGGCGCCACCACCACGCATGGCTAATTTTTATATTTTTAGTAGGGATGGGTTTTCACCATGTTGGCCAGGCTGTTCTCAAAACTCCTGACCTCAGGTGATCCGCCTGCCTCGGCCTCCCAAAGTGCTGGGATTACAGGCATGAGCCACGGTGCCCAGCCCAAAAATGAATAGTGTTTCTGTACATCAATAATAAACTAACTGAAAAATAAAGAAGACAGATCTGTTTACAGTAGCTACAGAAAATAAAATATCTAGAAGTACATTTAACCGAGTTAGTGAAATTTTTATGCAAGGATAATGATGAAACATGAATGAAAGAAATTAAAGAGGACACAAACTGAAAGATATCTAATACTCATGGGTTGAAAGAATTAGCATTGTTAAAATGACTGTAATACCGAAAGCAATCTACAGATTCAATGCAATCCCTATCAAAATACCAATAATTATTTTTTTTCACAGAAACAGGAAAGCAGTCCCAAAATTTGTATGAAACCACAAAAGACCCTAAATAGCCAAAACAATCCTGAGTTAGAAGAATAAAGCTGGAGGCACCACAACACCTGACTTCAAACTATTCTACAAAGCTGTAATAACCAAATCAGCATAATATTAGTATAAAAACAGACATATAGACCATATAGACCAATGAAACAGAATAGAGAATCCAGAAATAAATTTATATATTTACAGCCAATTGATTCTCAGAAAAGGCACCAAGAACATGCACTGAGGAAAGGATGCCCTCTTTAATAAATCGTACTGGGAATACGTGATGTCCATATGCAGAACCATGGAACTATTCACCTATCTCTCATCATATACAAAAATCAACTCAAAAGAGATTAAAGACTTACATGTAACATCTGAAACTATAAAACTACTAGAAGTAAACACAGGGAGAAACTTTCAGGGCATAGATCTAGGCAAAGATTTTATGGCTAAGATTTCAAAATCATAGGCAAAAAAAAAAAATAGACAAATGTAACTTTATAAAACTAAAAGTCTTCTGCGAAGAAAAGGAAATCAACAGAGTGAAGTGACAACCTGTAGAATGGGAGAAAATATTTGCAAACTATATGACAAGAAATGAATAACCAAAATAATTAACTCAACTAAACAGCAATATCATGACAATAAATAATATAATAATAATAATTCCATTAAATAGTGGCTAAAAGGTCTGAGTAGACATGCAAATGGCCAACAGGTATATGAAAAAAACAGTGAACATCACTAACCATCAGAAAATGCAATTCAGGACCACAAAAAGTTATCATCTTACCCCAGCTAGAACGGCTATTATCAAAAACAAAACAAAAAAACAAAACAAAACAAAACAAAAAAAGAATCCCAGAAAGGATGCAGAGAAAAGGGAACTCTTATACATTGTTATTGGGAATATAAATTAATATAAATTATTACAGCCTTTATGGAAAACAGTATGGATGTTTCTCAAATAACTGAAAATAGAATGACTACACGATCTGGCAATACCACGACTGGGTATTTATTCAAAGGAAAGGAAATCAGCACATAAAAGGGGTACATGCACCCTCATGTTTATTACAGCACTGTAGCTGAAGTGTAGAATAAACATGTGTCCATCAATGAATGAATGCATAAAGAAAATGTTATATGTATACATATGTGTCTGTATGCCTATACCCACAAATATATACAATGTATTTTATATATACAATGTATTTTTTAATCCAGCAATAAAATATGGTAAAATACTATCATTGGAAGCAATATGTATGGAACTAGAGGTTATTATGCTAACTGAAATAAACCAGGCACAGAAAGACAAATGTTGCATGTTCTCACTAATAGGTGAAAGCCGAAACATTTGATCTCATGGGAACAGAGTGTAAAATGTTGGTTACCAGAGGCTGGGGAGGGTGAGAATGAAGAGTTGTTTAATTGGTACAGACATGCAGAAGAAATAAGTGCTGGTGTTCAATAGTACAGTAAGATAACTCTAGTTAACATATTATATTGTATATTTTAAAATAGCTGAAAGAGAATATCTGAAATATTCCCAGTGAATTTTCTTTTCTTTTCTTTTCTTTCTTTCTTTTTTTTTTTTTTAATGGAGTCTCGCTCTGTCTCCCAGGCTGGAGTGCAGTGGCGCCATCTGGGCTCACTGCAAGCTCCACCTCCTGGGTTCAAGCCGTTCTCCCTCCTCAGCCTCCTGAGTAGCTGGGACTATAGGCGCCCGCCACCACGCCAGGCTGATTTTGTTTTTGTATTAGTAGAGACAGGGTTTCACCGTGTTAGCCAGGATGGTGGGCTGCACCTAATCAGTCTGCATCAAACCTTCCCTAATTAAAAAATCTTGGCCGGGCGCGGTGGCTTGTGCCTGTAATCCCAGCACTTTGAGAGGCTGAGGCAGGCAGATTATTTGAGGTCAGGAGTTCGAGACCAGCCTGGCCAACATGATGAAACCCCTTCTCTACTAAAATTACAAAAATTAACCGGACGCAGTGGCTCCTGCCTGTGGCCTCAGCTACTCGGGAGGCTGAGGCTGGAGAATCACTTGAACCTGGGAGGCAGAGATTGCAATGAGCCGAGATCGCGCCACTGCACTCCAGTCTTGGCAACAGAGAGAGACTCTATCTAAAAAAAACCCAAAAAACAAAAAACAAACACAAGAAGTTTTGGCTGCACCAAGATGCTAGCTGTGTGTGTTATTATTTTGACTACCATGTAGTTTAGTGAAGGTGTTCAGTAAACAGATGACCAAGTTTAATTTTATAATTTTCAGGAGTATTATCCTGATTCTAGTATAGAATTATCCTAATTCTAGTGTTAGAATTAGATTTTAGCAATATCTATTACTGTTCTTTGTTTGCCATTTTCCTATTGTACTATTGCTACATTTAGTGATATAAGGCCATCTGGATTCAAATTTCTAATTATTTTCAACATGTATATTATTTTCAGTGTTGCTTTTGGTAATACATTTGAAATGATAATATTGAGCTACATGAAAAATAAATATATGATTATTCTATCTTTTATCAATTGCATGGATTAAATGTAGAGAAAGCTCGTGAGTAATCCCATTATAAAAGATGAGAGAAATAAGAAATACATGCTTAGTGTATATAGAAGATAATGGGATATGGTGTTTATTTTAAAATATTTACGTACCTGTATTATTCACTACATATGATTACATTGATACCTCAAACAAAATGTGTGAATATAATTGAATAAAATTATATCTAGAGGGAATTCATTTTCTAAAGTGTGCATAGCAAAGGGTGCTATGTCAAAACATGTAAAATCATCACAGTGTACTTCAGAAACTTCCAAGTATTGAATATACAAAATAAAAAACATGAATTTGTGCTGTTTTTCAGCCAAAGGCTCTTATCAACAAAGGTTTTCAGTTATTGTGGGAGAACCCTTTCTTGTTACCGTAGATCATCTTACTACATGATGGTATTTTATCTTTCTCTCGCTCACTTGACCTTATAGGGAAATCACCAGTAAGAATATACTTTTTGTGACAATGTAAATATTATCCAGTCAAGATAGTAAATATTCATTCCTTAGCTATGATTGCCAGAATTTTCTTAAACTAAGATCAATGTGTGGAATGTCATCAGTATATAAAATCTTACTAATAACTTGGAAAGACCATGATTTCTTTGTTTCTATATGTGATTTGTGGACGTTTACCTTCTCATGTGCAATCTTGGTAAATCATAAAGTATGTTTAAATGTCAGTTTTCTCATCCATAAGCTGGGGATACCATTGTCTCCCTTGCAGTATTGCTGTGGGTATGAAGACTGAAATTGAAGTGGCTGACATTTATAAGGCACATATGATAGCTATTACATTTTTTATATTTCCATTTCCATTTGGGGAAATGTGGTTGATAGGGAGAATTCTTCTTTTCTTTCTTCTTCTTCTTTTTTTTTTTTTTTGGAAGGAATCTCGCTCTGTCATCCAGGCTGGAGTGCAGTGGTGTGATCTTGGTTCGCTGCAACCTCTGCCTCCTGGGTTCAAGCAATTCTCCTGCCCCAGCCTCAAGAGTAGCTTGGACTACAGGTGTGTGCCACCACACCCAGCTAATTTTTGAATTTTTAGTGGTGACAGGGTTTTACCATATTGGTCAGGCTGGTCTCGAACTCCTGACCTCATATCTGCCCACCTTGGCCTCCCAAAGTGCTGGGATTACAGGTGTGAGCCACTGCGCCTGGCAGACAGGGAGAATTCTTCTGTTAAGACTTCCCTGAAATTCAAGGTAGGCTAATTGTCCCTTATGTGCTCACTTACCACTGGTGGAAATATCCCTCTTTAAGACCTAATATAATATACTTTATGTCTTTCTACTGGTAATCAGTAAGTGCTTGGAGGATAGCAAATGCATTTTATTAAAACTTTTACTCCCAGTACATAGCAGATTGCTGAAGTCACAATTGTTAAATAAATGTTTGTTGCCCTGCACTAAAATGTGTAAGATACTTGATGAGAAAATTTAGAAAATATTTTAAAAGACTTTTTATGTGGCTATAGAATATTTAACTTAAGATCCATGTGTTTGCTTTATGTGTCAGAGTTTGTTATGTACTATGCTTTTGTATCTTCATGGCTTTTTTTTTAAATCTAGTTTTTAAACATAAATAATTTTCTGATCTTTTTTAAGTGAAATATTTAAAATACATTAAAAATGTTTTGACATTATGATTATTTGTTTACACATGGTTAAATTATATCTATCTGAATTATGTGAATTATTCTTTGACAAGTGATGATTCTTCATCTCAAAAGCCTAATGAAGATAGTATATTAATTGGTTCTCTGGTCTTAAATGATAATCTTTCAATAGTAAATTGCAAAGAAGCTTGCTGATATTTCTCTTGCATCGGTTAAATAATAATTTCCAGTAATCAAGCCATGGCTAATGATGATGGAAGTAACACATTTATGCAACAAAAATTTGCACATATTTCTTCCAGAAGCCAATAAGCAGTTACATGAAGCAACATAAAAGCAATTTTTTCCATCTTTCAAGCAACCAACAAAATTAAATTTCATTGTTATTATTTAATAAAAATAGTAATATTTATGACTTTATATTACAGTTGGTATACTAATCTTTTAGTTAATAAATTTACAAGCTTAGTGGGAAAAACAAAACAAAAGCATAAACGAAATCTGTATGCAGTATGGAACTTATTAGGTACATATGACCCGATTCTAATTTAAAACCTGTAATGCAATTGAAATAATACCCAACATAAAGCTTATGACAAAACAAATGCCTACAATTTACTTTAGAAAGTAAAGCGCATGCAGTTATTGAAAAAAATAGACTGTTTACACAGAATGTTAACTGTTCCTTTTGCATTGTTGTATCAAAATAGGTGATAAGCCCCAGTGTGTGTTGTTCCCCTCTATGCGTTTATGTGTTCTTATCATTTAGCTCCCACTTACATGTGAGAACATGCCGTATTTGGTTTTCTGTCCCGTGTTAGTTTGCTAAGGATAATGGTCTCCAGCTCCATCCATGTCCCTGCAAAGGACATGAACAACACACACTGGGGCCTAACTGAGGGTGGAAGGTGTGATGAGGGAGAGGATCAGGAAAAATAACTAATGAATACTAGGCTTGATACCTGAGTGATGTAACAATCTGCTCAACAAACCTTCATGACACTGGTTTACCTAGGCAACAAACCTGCACATCCTGCAAATATACCCCTGAACTTAAAAGCTAAAAAACAGGCCCGGGTGCAGTGGCTCACGCCTGTAATCCCAGCACTTTGGGAGGCCAAGGCGGGTGGACCACAAGGTCAGGAGATCGAGGCCATCCTGGCTAACACGGTGAAACCCCATCTCTACTAAAAATGCAAAAAATCAGCCAGGCGTGGTGGTAGGCACCTGTAGTCCCAGCTACTCAGGAGGCTGAGGCAGGAGAATGGCGTGAACCTGGGAGGTGGAGCTTGCAGTGAGCCGAGATCACACCACTGCACTCCAGCCTGGGCGACAGAGCGAGACTCCTCAAAAAAAAAAAAAAGCTAAAAAACAGAAATAATGACAAGGAAGAAAACACGTACATATTCAATAATAATAATAATAGCCAACAGGATTACTATGAAAAAAGATAGGTGATAACTCTTCAGCTAACATTAATCAGGCTCTGTGTGCATGACTTGACTTGTTATTTCTTATATATGTACAAACTCATTTAATACTCATAACCCTACATGTACATAGTTTTGATGACCTATTTTACAGATGGGAAAACTGAGACCCAGAGAAGTTAAACAACTCCCCCAAGGTTAGAATCTGATAGTTGCTAGAATCTGGCGAATGCAGATGTGTTTCAAATTATATTCGTTATTATAATTATATTTCTTATTTGTTAAATAAAAACACATGGGGGTCCAAGATGGCGGACTAGAAGCCACTAGTATGCCACGGTGCTCATGGAGAGAAATAAAAGGGGTATGTAAATACTACATTTTCTTTTTTTTTTTTTTTTTTTTTATTATACTCTAAGTTTTAGGGTACATGTGCACATTGTGCAGGTTAGTTACATATGTATACATGTGCCATGCTGGTGTGCTGCACCCACTAATGTGTCATCTAGCATTAGGTATATCTCCCAGTGCTATCCCTCCCCCCTCCCCCGACCCCACCACAGTCCCCAGAGTGTGATATTCCCCTTCCTGTGTCCATGTGATCTCATTGTTCAATTCCCACCTATGAGTGAGAATATGCGGTGTTTGGTTTTTTGTTCTTGCGATAGTTTACTGAGAATGATGGTTTCCAATTTCATCCATGTCCCTACAAAGGATATGAACTCATCATTTTTTATGGCTGCATAGTATTCCATGGTGTATATGTGCCACATTTTCTTAATCCAGTCTATCATTGTTGGACATTTGGGTTGGTTCCAAGTCTTTGCTATTGTGAATAGTGCCGCAATAAACATACGTGTGCATGTGTCTTTATAGCAGCATGATTTATAGTCCTTTGGGTATATACCCAGTAATGGGATGGCTGGGTCAAATGGTATTTCTAGTTCTAGATCCCTGAGGAATCGCCACACTGACTTCCACAATGGTTGAACTAGTTTACAGTCCCACCAACAGTGTAAAAGTGTTCCTATTTCTCCACATCCTCTCCAGCACCTGTTGTTTCCTGACTTTTTAATGATTGCCATTCTAACTGGTGTGAAATGATATCTCATAGTGGTTTTGATTTGCATTTCTCTGATGGCCAGTGATGATGAGCATTTCTTCATGTGTTTTTTGGCTGCATAAATGTCTTCTTTTGAGAAGTGTCTGTTCATGTCCTTCGCCCACTTTTTGATGGGGTTGTTTGTTTTTTTCCTGTAAATTTGTTTGAGTTCATTGTAGATTCTGGATATTAGCCCTTTGTCAGATGAGTAGGTTGCGAAAATTTTCTCCCATGTTGTAGGTTGCCTGTTCACTCTGATGGTAGTTTCTTTTGCTGTGCAGAAGCTCTTTAGTTTAATTAGATCCCATTTGTCAATTTTGGCTTTTGTTGCCATTGCTTTTGGTGTTTTGGACATGAAGTCCTTGCCCACGCCTATGTCCTGAATGGTAATGCCTAGGTTTTCTTCTAGGGTTTTTATGGTTTTAGGTCTAATGTTTAAATCTTTAATCCATCTTGAATTGATTTTTGTATAAGGTGTAAGGAAGGGATCCAGTTTCAGCTTTCTACATATGGCTAGCCAGTTTTCCCAGCACCATTTATTAAATAGGGAATCCTTTCCCCATTGCTTGTTTTTCTCAGGTTTGTCAAAGATCAGATAGTTGTAGATATGCGGCATTATTTCTGAGGGCTCTGTTCTGTTCCATTGATCTATATCTCTGTTTTGGTACCAGTACCATGCTGTTTTGGTTACTGTAGCCTTGTAGTATAGTTTGAAGTCAGGTAGTGTGATGCCTCCAGCTTTGTTCTTTTGGCTTAGGATTGACTTGGCAATGCGGGCTCTTTTTTGGTTCCATATGAACTTTAAAGTAGTTTTTTCCAATTCTGTGAAGAAAGTCATTGGTAGCTTGATGGGGATGGCATTGAATCTGTAAATTACCTTGGGCAGTATGGCCATTTTCACGATATTGATTCTTCCTACCCATGAGCATGGAATGTTCTTCCATTTGTTTGTGTCCTCTTTTATTTCCTTGAGCAGTGGTTTGTAGTTCTCCTTGAAGAGGTCCTTCACATCCGTTGTAAGAAATGGATACATTCCTCGACACATACACTCTCCCAAGACTAAACCAGGAAGAAGTTGAATCTCTGAATAGACCAATAACAGGCTCTGAAATTGTGGCAATAATCAATAGTTTACCAACCAAAAAGAGTCCAGGACCAGATGGATTCACAGCCGAATTCTACCAGAGGTACAAGGAGGAACTGGTACCATTCCTTCTGAAACTATTCCAATCAATAGAAAAAGAGGGAATCCTCCCTAACTCATTTTATGAGGCCAGCATCATTCTGATACCAAAGCCGGGCAGAGACACAACCAAAAAAGAGAATTTTAAACCAATATCCTTGATGAACATTGAGACAAAAATCCTCAATAAAATACTGGCAAACCGAATCCAGCAGCACATCAAAAAGCTTATCCACCATGATCAAGTGGGCTTCATCCCTGGGATGCAAGGCTGGTTCAATATACGCAAATCAATAAATGTAATCCAGCATATAAACAGAGCCAAAGACAAAAACCACATGATTATCTCAATAGATGCAGAAAAAGCCTTTGACAAAATTCAACAACCCTTCATGCTAAAAATTCTCAATAAATTAGGTATTGATGGGACGTATTTCAAAATAATAAGAGCTATCTATGACAAACCCACAGCCAATATCATACTGAATGGGCAAAAACTGGAAGCATTCCCTTTGAAAACTGGCACAAGACAGGGATGCCCTCTCTCACCGCTCCTATTCAACATAGTGTTGGAAGTTCTGGCCAGGGCAATCAGGCAGGAGAAGGAAATAAAGGGTATTCAATTAGGAAAAGAGGAAGTCAAATTGTCCCTGTTTGCAGACGACATGATTGTTTATCTAGAAAACCCCATCGTCTCAGCCCAAAATCTCCTTAAGCTGATAAGCAACTTCAGCAAAGTCTCAGGATACAAAATCAATGTACAAAAATCACAAGCATTCTTATACACCAACAACAGACAAACAGAGAGCCAAATCATGGGTGAACTCCCATTCACTACATTTTCAACTAAAGCATATAGGTGCATGGACTGGGAATAATCAAGAAAACAACTCGAGCCACAGATAAAGCAGAGGAGCAAGGCAAAATGACTGTCCACCCTGGAGTGACATGGAGCTAGGGGAGGCTCTCCTGCCCAGGGAAACAGAGAGTGAATGAGAGACCGCGGGGACTTATGCTTCTTCCACTGATCTTTGCAACCCGGGGGTCAGGAGATCCCCTCACTTGACTTACTCCACCAGGACCTTCAGTCTGACATGCACAGCTACCTAGAGTCTTAGCAGAGACACCTCTATGGTACATTTGGAGTCACCACACATCCTAGCAGTAGCAGCTGCCGCTCTGGCAGAGGGGGTGGTTAAAGTCCTATACATGCCCACAGGAAAGAGGCTGAATCCAGGGGGCTGAGCAGTGATGGTCTGCAGGTCTGGCTTCCAGGGCAGCTCACAGGATAAGACCCACTGTCCTGGGACTTCAGCCAGACTCCAGTAGCAGCCCTGAGCTCCCTGAGACAGAGCTCCCAGAGGGAAAGATGGGCTGCTATCTTTGCTGTTTCACAGCCTTGGCTGTTGTAGTCTTCAGCGCAGCTGCCCTACGAAAAAGGAGTCAGCCTGCTTCTTTATGCGAGTCCCTGATGAAATTTCTCCTCACTGGGCAGGACCAGGGTCTCCAGTCACCCTTTGCTGGTGTTTTCAGCAGCCCCATCCCCCCGTGGGTTGGAGCTCCCAGAGGGAGGGGCAGGTCATCATCTTTGCTGTTTTGCAGCCTTAGCTGTTGTTTGCCTTCAGCATTTAGGGAGTACGAGGTGACTAGGGACTGGAGCAGACCCCCAGCACAGCACTGCTGCCCTTTGAAAATGCAGTCAGACTGCAAAAAAACAACAACAACAACATAAAAAAACAACTGTGGGTCACCTATCTTATTTCTCCTCACTGGGCAGGACCACTCGCCTGGGTCTCAAACCACCCCCTGCTGAGGCTATCAAGCCAGTAGCAGCTCTGCACTTATCTAGGACAGAACTCCAAGTGGGAGGGACAAGCTGCCATCCTTGCTGTCTAGCAGCCCTTGCCTTTGCCATCTCCAAGCTTGGGAGAGTCTGGGGGGACAAGGGGCTGTTCTGGGCCCTCAGCACAGGGCAGCCGCCTCACAGAAAAGTTAATGGACTGTCCTCCACACAGGTCCTGGTCCTCACTTCACCTCACTGAACAGGGTCACCTGACCTGGACTGTCCTCCACACAGGTCCTGGTCCTCACTTCACCTCACTGAACAGGGTCACCTGACCTGGGACTGGAGCACAAATACCCTGTCTCTGTCTGATTACTTCAGTGAGTGTCAGCTCAGAATTTCTGAGGAGAAAATTCCAAAATCAAGCCACAAACCCTCTGGCAGTACAGCCCTAACAGCCCTTGAGCTGAGGAAAGAACAAAGGGCCTAGTCTCTAAGCTGGCTCTGCCAGCACAAAGCAGGCACCATATGGAGAGGAGTCCAGCCCCTCTACCCTGGGAACCTGCACCCTCACTCTTAAGACAGGACCCCTGGTGCAAAACCACAGAACAGCCACCTCTACCAGTGGCTGAACATGCCCAGCAGAAGTGGCTCTGAGATTTTCTATGGTAAGGCTCCTAGAGCCAACTGACTATCCCTCTGCCACTGCCATAGCAGTGGTCCTTCCCCTGCTGCCCTCAGCCTGGGGAAGAAACAAAAAGCCTGAAGGCTGCACTCAAGCTTACAGCATGCCACAGATACCATATGAAAAGGAGCTCAGTCTCTCTTCCCTGTGAGCCCTGGAACCCCTGCCACCCAACAAGCAGAGGCTCTAGTTCACACCAGCAGTGCAACTGCCCCAGTCCCCCGACTCAACACCGCCAGTAACAGCAACTCCATGTTGGAGGTGGAGTCACTCGAGGGGCCACTGAAAACCCCTCTGCCACTGCCTCTGCAGTGGTACTGCCCCTACTATTCTCTTGAAAGAGCAAAGATCCTAAATGCTGTATCTTAGCCCCAGCAAGCTGCAGTCAACACAAAGAGAGGAGGCCAGTCTGTCTCCCATGGGCTGCAGCCCTGCTCCCCCTTGCTCATCAATAGGCAGGGCCTCCCTGGCTTGGACAGACAACAGAGAATCCCATCCCAGGCTGATTGCACTGAGTGATTGATGCTCTGAAACTATCTGGGATAGAGCCCAGACAAGTGCAAGACCCTTGGCCACAACCACTGCTAAGGTCTTTTCCTCTGCTGCCTCTAAGTTGAGAAGGGAACATAAACATTGAAATCACCCCAGACCTGTGATGAGCAGCCTGGAAGTGCCAAGCTGTTGTCTACAGCCAGTACTCAAGTAGGAGGGGAGCCCACACCTTCAGAGCATTGAGAGGGAGCATAGCTGCAATTGTGGAGAAATATAGGGGAGCCACATGACTGAACAAGAGCCTATTACTAATCATTACACCTAAGTGTCACCTACTGGATCATATCCTAAAACTTCAATACCAAGAATACTTTGCTAACATACCCCTGAGATACAAAAGACAAAAAAGTCAACTACGAATAAAGACCCTGTGCAAAGCTTTGGCTCTGTGAAAACACCCAGAAAAGATACTGCAGCTAAAGGAACACTCACACACAGAGATGAGAAAGAACAAAATCAAGAACTCCAGCAACTCAAATGGCCAGAGTATCTTCATAACCTCCAAATGACTGCATTAGTTCTCCAGCAAGGGTTCTTAACAGAGCTGAGATGGCTGAAGTGACAGAAATAGAATTGAAAATGTGGATAAAAACAAAAATCATTGAGATTCAGGAGAATGGCAAAACCCAATCCAAGTAAACTAAGAATAACAATAAAATGATATAGGAACTGACAGAGAAAATAGCCAATGTAAATAGTAAAAGAACCTAACTGACCTAATACAGTTGTAAAACACACTACAAGAATTTTATAATGGAATCAGAAGTATTAAGAGCAGAATAGACCAAGCTGAGGAAAGAATCTCAAAGCTTAAAGACAAGCTCTCTGACATAAGACAGAACAAAATAAAGAAAGAAGAATAAAAATAAACAAACAAAAGCTCCAAGAAATATGGGATTATGTAAAGAGGTCAAATCTATGAATCATTGGTGTTCTGGAAAGGGATGGGAAAAAAATAAACAAATTGGAAAATGTGTTTTTGGATGTTGTCCATGAAAACTTCCCCAACCTCAACAGAAAGCTAAACATTAAAATTCAGGAAATACAGAGAACCCTGGCAAGATACTACAAAGAAGATCATCCCCAAGACACATAGTCATCAGATTTCCCAAGATCAAAATGAAAGAAAAAATGTTAAAGGCAGCTAGGGAGAAAGGGCAGGTCACCTACGAAGGGAATCATATCAGTCTAACAATGGACCTGCCAGAAGAGATTGGGGGTCTATATTCAGCATTCTTAAAGAAAAAGTCAGTGATTGCAATCCTAATTTCAGACAAACAGACTTTAAACCAACAAAGACCAAAAAAGAAAAAGAAAGACATTAAACAATGGTAAAGGTCTCAATTCAATGAGACACAATTATCCTAAATATATATGCATCCAACACAGAAGCACCCGTATTCATAAAACCAGTTCTTAGAGATCTTCAAAGAGACTTAGACTCCCACACAATAATATTTGAAGACTACAACACCCCACTGAGTATATTAGAGAGATTATTGAGGCTGAAAATTAACAAAGATATTCAGGATCTGGACTTAACACTAGACCAAATGGACCTAATAGACATCTTCGGAACTCTTCACCCAAAACTAACAATATTTACAGTCTTCTCATCGTTACATGGCACATACTCTAAAATCAACCACACACTTAGACATAAAATAGTCCTCAGCAAATGCAAAAACAACAAAATCATACCACCCATGCCCTTCGAACACCGTACAATAAAAATAAAATTCAAGACTAAGAAAATCACTCAACTAATACAATTACATAGAAATTGAACAATCTGCTTCTGAATAACTTTTAGGTAAATAATAAAATTAAGGCAGTGACAAGAAATTCTTCGAAATTAGTGCAGACAAAGATAATACACCAGAATATCTGGGACACAGCTAAGGGAGTGTAAAGAGGACAATTTATAGCACTAAATGACCACATCAAGAATTTAGAAGGACCTCAAATTAACAACCTAACATCAAAACTAAAAGAAGTAGAAAAAGAAGAGCAAACCAGACCCAACACTAGCAGAAGACAAGAATTAACCAAAATCAGAGTTGAACTGAAGAAGACTGAGACATGGAAAAACATTCAAAAGATCAACAAATCTAGGAATTCAGTTTTTGAAAAAATTAGTAAGATCCCTAGCTAGACTAATGAAAAAAAGAGAGAAGATCCAAATAAACACAATTAGAATCAACAAAGTGGATCATATCACGTACCTCACAGAAATACAAATAACCATCAGCAAATACCATGAACATTTCTATGCACACAAACTAGAATATCTAGTAGAAATTGATTAATTCCTGGATACCTACATCCTTCCAACTGAATCATGGAGAAATTGAATCCCTGAACACACCAATAACAAGCTCCAAAAATTAATCAATAAATAGCCTATCCACCCAAAAAGTATAGGACTAGACGGATTCAGAGTTAAATTCTACCAGAGGTACAAAGAAAAGCTGGTATAATGCCTACTGAGACTATTCCAAAAAATTGAGTATGAAGTTCTGCTTCCCAACTTATTCTATGAGGCCAGCATCATCTTTTTATCAAAACCTGACAGAGACACAACAACAACAACTTCAGGCCAATATCCTTGATGAACATAGATGCAAAAGTCTTCAACAAGATGCTAGTAAACTGAATCCAGCAGCATATCAAAAAGCTAATCCACTGTAATCAAGTAAGCTTTATCCTAGAGATGCAATGTTGTTGGTTCAACACACGTAAATCAATAAATATGATTCATCACACAAACAAAATTAAAGGCAAAAACCACGTGATTATCTCAATAAATGCAGAAAATGCTTTTGATAAAATTAAACATCCTTTCATGTTAAAAATTCTCCATAAACTAGATATTGAATGAGCATACCTCAAAATAATAGGGGGAATGTATGACAGACCCACAGCCAATATCGTACTGAATGGGCAAAAGCTAGAAGCAGTCCTCTTGAAAACCCACACAAATACAAGGATGCCCTCTCTCACCACTCCTACTCAACATAGTATTGGAAGTCCTGACCAGGGCAATCGAGAAAGAGAAAGAAATAAAGAGCATCCAAATAGGAAGAGAGGAAGTCAAATTATCTCTTTTTGCAGACAACATGATTCTATAGCTTGAAAAACCCATAATCTTGGCCCAAAAGCTCCTAGATTTGATAAACAACTTCAGCAAAGTTTCAGGATACAAAATTGATGTACAATCAGTAGTATTCCTATACACCAGCAACAGCCAAGTCAAGAGCCAAATCAGGAATGAAATCCCATTCACAATTGCCACAAAAAGAAGAAAATGCTAAAGGAACCAGGGATCTCTACAATGATAATTAGAAAACATTGCTCAAAGAAATGAAAAATGATACAAACAAATGAATAAAAATTTTGTGCTCATAAGTACCAAGAACACATAGTGTTAAAATGGCCATAGTGACCAAAGCAATTTACAGATTCAATGCTGTTTCTATCAAAATATCGGTGACATTCTTTACAGAAGTAGAAAAAAAAGTATTTTAACATTCACATGGACCCAAAAAAGAGCTTGAATAGCCAAGGCAATCCTAAGCAAGAAGAACAAAGCTGGAGGTATCATGCTACCCAACTTCAAGCTATACTGCAGGGATACAATTACCAAAACAGCATGGTACTGGTACAAAAACAGACACATAGATCAGTGGAACAGAATGGAGAGCCTGGACATAATGCCACACACCTACAACCATCTGATCTTTGAGAAAGCACACAAAAATGAGCAATGGTGAAAGAACTCCCTATTCAATAAGTGGTGCTGAGATAACTTGCATATGCAGAAGATTGAAACTGGACGCCTTCCTTACACAAAAAGGAAACATTTTTGCAAACCATGCATCTGACAAAGGTATAATATCCAGCATCTATAAGGAATTTAAACAAATTTACAAGAAGAAGGCAAACAACTTCATTAAAAAGTAGCCAGAGGGCATAGACAGGCACTTTTCAAAAGAGGTATACATGCTGCCAACAAGCATATGAAAAAAGTTCAGTATCACTAATTATTAGAGAAATGCAAATCAAAACCATACTGAGATATCATCTCACACCATCTAAAATGGCTACCAAAAAAGTAAAAAAAAAAAAAACAAACAGATGCTGGCGAGGTTGTGTAGAAAAGGGAATGATTATACACTGTTGATGGTAGTGTAAATTAGTTCAGTCATTGGGGAAAGAAGTATGGTGATTCCTCAAAGAGCTAAAAACAGAATTACCATTCAACCAAGCTATCCAGGGTATATACCCAAAGGAATATAATCATTTTACTATAAATCAAATACTGGATGTATACCCAAAGGAATATAAATCATTCTACCATGAATTCTCATGCATGCATATGTTCATTGTAGCACTGTTCATTATAGAAAGACATGAAAACCACCTAAATTCCCATCGATGGATAAAGAAAATGTGGTACATATACAACATGGAATACTGTGCAGCCATAAAAAAATAATGAGATCAGGTTCTTGGCAGGAACACGGATGGAGCTGGAAGCTATTATTCTAAGCAAGCTAATGCAGGAACAGAAAACCAAACACTGCATATTCTCACTTATAAATTGGAGCTAAGTGATGAAAACACGTGGACATAAAGAGGGGAACAACAGACACAGGAGTTTACTTGAGGGTGGACAGTGGGAGGAGAGAGGATAAGAAAAAATAGCTACTGGGGCCAGGCATCAGTGACTCACGCCCTAAATCCCAGCAATTTGGGAGACCAAGGTGGGCAGATCGCTCAAGCTCAGAAGTTGAAGACCAGACTAGACAACATGGCGAAACCCTATCTCTACAAAAAATACAGTAATTAGCTGGGTGTGGTGGTTTATGCCTGCAGTCTCAGCTACTCAGGAGGCTGAGGTGGGAGGATCAATCGAACCCAGGAAGTGGAGGTTGCAGTGAGCCAAGATTGTGCCACTGCTCTCCAGCCTGGATGACAGAGTGACACCCTGTCTCAAAAAAATAAATTAAAAAATAAAATAAAATAAAACAAAATAAAATAAAAAAATACAAAAAAAGAAAATAAATATTGGGTACTAAGTTTAGTACCAGGGTGACAAAATAATCTGTACACCAAATCCCTGTGACATGAATTTACCTATATAACAAACCTACACATGTACCTCCGAATGTAAAATAAGTTTAAAAAAAGAAATGCATAAAGTTCACTAATCAATTAAAATATGAAATATTAATTATTTGAATTAAAGTATTTGATTTGTCATACATCACAATATCTAAGTTATGTATATCCCATGATAAAAATGACCTTTTCTACACACTATCAAACAATGTTATAACAGCTAAATATTACTTTGTATTGATTGCCAAATCATCACCTAAAGAAGAACTGTTTCTATAAGGCAAAATCATTCAATCCAACACATTTTCTGTGATTGAAATCTATTAAAATAATAATCAGTAATTATCTGAAAAATGAGAATATTAATATATCATTACTGAAATAAATAATAGATTAGCTAAAAATTTAATTTTTAATAATGTGTTCTGTAAAGGAGTTATTGTGTATAACAAAAGAGCTTAGAATTTAAAGCTGCTTGAATCTGTTTCTAGATAAAGAATTCTGATTACTTCAGCATCTGTGAATGTTTATATCCTTATCTATAAAGTGGATATATTAAGACATACAATATAGGATTGTTGAGAGAATTTAAAGGGCATGAGAAAAACAATGTTAGCAGTTCATGATGCACGTCACATGGTCAATAAATGCTACTCTCAATGGAGCCTGAGTTTAGAGCCTAAAGGAGACAACTCTATTCATAAAGCAAGAAGCCCAGATTTTCAGATATTCTCAACTTCTCTCTCACTACTCAGATTAAAATTAATTTAGTTTCTATTACACTTTAGGTCAGCATTTTCCTTCGTATCACAAATATCTTTTAAGATATATAAATTGTTCAAAGAAAAACTAGGTTGAAATTAAATATATCAGGAACTTTATTTGGAATTACAAATGTTTTGTTCATTGGATTGTCTTTTATTATTAAAACACTAGAGAAATAATATTAAAAAATAAATTCCCACATCTGATCAACCTGACAACCTAATGAAATATCACAAATACTTACATCAAATAGAACTGACTCATTCCTAAGATTGGAGCACTAGTTAATGACAGACAACAGAGCTTAGTGTATGAGATTCCAGTTTCTGAAACATTGGATCGTGTGTCTTGAAACACAGCTTCACCACTTACGGAACGATCCTTGCTGCATTGCTTGAATTTGCTTCTTCTCAGTACTGGGCATCATCAAAATAACTACCTAAATATTTTGAGGATTCGATTAGATAATTTACTCAAATCACACAACAAAGTTGCTGTAACAGAATAAAATCACAATAAATTCATTAATTTGGCATGTGCTATTCCCTAGGCTATCTTATTTATGTTTAATTTCCCTTAAGTCACTTGAACTGTGTGTGAACAATGTTTTTTTGACCAAAGAAGAGATTTATTCCATATACAGATGAAAGGAATCCAGTTTTCTGTTGCACAGCTTCCTTTAGAAGAGAGAGAGGCCATTTAATTAATAAGTATTATTCTGTATATACTGCCTGTAAAATACTAGCATCACTATAATGAGCAGATCTAAAGGAAATTTTCCTTAAGATCACTGACTTCAACTTTCAAAGATAATACATATATATAATAATTAAATAGCCTATGAGTATTTGGTAAAAACAATAACAAGACATGATATAAGCTAATAAAAACAATTGTCTTATATTCAACATTGTAAATAAATGTTTTATTTTAATGTAAAGTAAATTCATTATGGTTTGGAAATAATAAAGTTTTATGGACAATTTGGCTCTCAAATAGTCTGCAAGCAATTTATCTTTAGTTATTCATATAACAGGAGTCATCTTTGATATGAATTGTCTACATTTATCAAAAGTTTTTTTTACCATTAATAATTGAAGAGATGGGAAAGAAACTATATGTGAAATGTTAATGTAGTGATAATTTCATGAATAAGCCTTACTCTGGGGCAAATCTTAGATAACATTGAACCCATTCAATCACATGGTCCAGTGGATTAAATGATTTTAACCTTTCTACAATTTTCTTTACTTTTCCTAATAGAGATTTATTAAGTACTATACTCAAAACCTTAAATAATTGCACAAAGCCTATCTTGTTTTAAGAAATTAAGCCATAATGACTCATCTAAATTTATCATATTTGAGTAATATAACCAGTTGCTCACACACACTGGGAGCACAGTGTTTCTGGTGTGATCCTATTCTAAAATCCTGTTTGTGAAACCCCTCATAGATATACTACTTGCAGTTTGATGGATTACACCTCAAAGATACATTTATTAAAAACCTGCTAAGTGCCAGATAAAGCCCAAATAGACCCATTTCTTTTTTTTTGTCATACTTAAAAATCATTTTGCCTCCCTGTATCCTCACTTGTTTTTTCCTGCTTTTCTTTCCATGCCACCCACTTTAGTGAGTTATATGTGAATAATTATTCAAGAAAAAAGGTTTATACCCCTGGAGGGTGAAGAATAGTGTTCTTAACATATTAATTATCAAGTATGGTTTCCAATGCAGAAAAAGGCTTTTAAACATTAACACAGAAAATAAGCTTTTAGAATTTTTTTTTGTTAAACAGAATAAAATTTAAATTGTATTTCTTGAATAAATGAAATGAGTAAAAATGAGCAGATTTTAAAAGCTGTCCTGTTGGAGAAGTTCTGTGACCAACTAGAAATGTATTGAAGGTCATGAATTTTTTTATTTGTAATGAATGTTGCATGGAATAATATTCTATAATTAGTTCTTAGAAATAATTCTTATTTTAAAAGTGTTAAATATTTTCCATAATGCACTTATTACATATGCACATGTATAAAAAATACATATTTGTACATTTTCATGTATTTTGTTTCAGATATGGCAATATTTAGTCATTATTTATTTATGAATTTGACATAATCTATGGACAACATTTGTTAGAAACTTTTCTAAATATGTAACACAATGAAAGTGATGCAGAAAAAAAGTCCATATTCATTCATATATAAATTATGGAGCTGCCAATAACACCTAATATGTAGGAGGATAAGTATAATTCTGTGTAGAAAAGATTTATTCAGGATCTCTAGCACATATTGTAAACCAGACATTTTTATTGTCCTGGATTTACAAATAAAAATGTAGTTTTGATCTTTCATCTCTCTGGTGGCATTTATATAATTAAAGCTTCCTGAGGGCAGAGGTGCTTGTCTGTTTTGTTCAGTGATAGATCTTCCAAACCTAGGACAATGCTTAGCACATAGTATAACTTAATAAATATTTGCTGAATGAATTAATGAATAAAATATGAGAAGACAGGTAATCTTTCACATTTAAAGTAATGCAAAACTCTCTGTTTATTGTCACAAAATTCTGAAAGGGAGAGGGATGATCACCATTACACTCAAATACTGTGTTATCCTCTCTAGTACATTACACAGTTCTGAAATTTATAGTTTTCTTTTGTGCGGGTATAGGAAAAGGTCTGGTTTTAATTATGAGTGGGCTTAAAGGAGTTAAAAATAAAGTATGGATATAAAGAGCTTGCAGTTTTGCAAATTTTATAAGTATAAAACATAAATATTATTTTCCAAAGTGTGTCAGAATTCAAAATAAAATGTTTTTGAAAAATGTAAAAGCTTTAATATCTTTGATTAATATGTTTGATCTACTGACTCTAAGGCCAGATTGAGACAAAACATATGTATTCCTTTTATTATTTAAGTACAATTGATTTCTTACTCTTTGCTGATATTTATAAATGGAAATTAACACAAATAAATGAAGCATAAAATGGAAAGCAACTAACATAAACTGGAAAGAAATAAATGAACAATTAGTTTATATAAATTATCTGTCCTCAATTTTCATTGGATCAACCATAGGATAAACACATAATATGACTATATATCAACTCTATTATTTCGTTATTTGTGAGTGGGTGCTGAAGTATATGGGAGGTATGTAGAAAAAGTATTATAGGCAAAAAGGTCAACGTGTCTCTCTTATACTCAATAGCTGTAGTTGCTATTTTCTTCCACCTATTGCCCCAAGATTACTTCTTCCCTGACAAAATTTTGGCCAGAGAATATTATATAAAAACACTAGCCTTCTTATTGCTCAGATCTGTGTTATCCTGGTCCTGTACTCAGCCTTCACTGACACCTTGACCCTGAATTACATTATTTCCCTTTAAGTTCAGGCTTGAACTCCTTTATATTCCTGGGCTGTTCTTCCAGATTATAGACAGTCCCCAATTTGCCATGGTTTGACATAAAATTTTTGACTTTACTATGGTGTGAAAGCAATATGCATTCAGTAGAAACCGTACTTCTACTGAATGTAGGAATATGTAGATATAAATGTACATATATAGGAATTATATATCATTCTAAAAGTTTAATGATAGCTAATAGCCTAACAGAAAGAATATATATATATATGTATATACATACATATACAATCATATGTATATATACACATATATATTCTATGTGTGTACCCAGGCAATCATTCTGTTTTTCACTTTAAGTATAGCTTTCAGTAAATTATATTAAACACTTTTTATTATAAATTATACTTTATATTCAATGATTTTGCCTAACTGTAGGATAATGTAAGTGTTCTGAGCATGTCTGAGTTATGTTAGGCTGAGTTATTATGTTCCATAGGTTAGGTGTATATAATGAAGTTTTTACTTACGATATTTTCAATTTACAGTGGGTTTACCAGTCAAACCTCACTATATGTTGAGAAGCATCTATAGATCCAAACACTCCAGTAAATCAATCATGTCTCTGAATTTCAGACTATGTGACAAGAGTATTGAAATTCCAGCAAGTTTGTGTCTCTCCCTTCCCTTAGGTTACTGATTGCTATTTCTTATATTCCCAGCAACAGGCTATTGGGTTTGGAGTGAATTCTCAGAAACATCACTACTGACATAACTCCATAAAGAATTCATAATTTCTACTCACATGTTTTACCCACATCAATAACAGAATCTCAGGAAAACCAAAGTGGAGTTTACAATGTTCATTTTGACACTGTGCATTAGACTTCTCGACTTCAAGCTACAAAAACCAGCACAGAACCTGGAAAAATTTTACCTCCTGGCATTTTTGTTTCTCTACCCTGATGCTTGTTGTTGAGTTTTACCCATGCTTTGACCATCAGCAAATTGAAGATAAGAAAAGGAATAAAGTTTATCAAAACACAAGAAGCCACAATACTTTAATAGAGAATGCATATTTAAGTGTAGTAAGAAATAAGATACAATAGAACAGAGAGAAAATATTAAACACAATTTTAAGTAGCCAAAACATATCCTATGAGTTGATAATTTATTATTTTTGATTATTATTTATTATTTATTTATCTATTTTTTGAGATGGAGTCTTGCTCTGTTACCCAGGCTGGAATGCAGTGGTGAAATCTCGGCTTACTGCAACCTTGGCATCCCAGGTTCAGGCAATTCTCCTGCCTCAGCCTCCTGAGTGGCTGGGATTACAGGCATGTGACACCATGGCTGGCTAATTTGTTTGTATTTTTAGTAGAGATGGGGTTTCACTGTGTTAGCCAGATGGTCTCCATCTCCTGACCTCGTGATCCGCCTGCCACGGCCTCCCAAAGAGCTGGGATTACAGGCGTGAGCCACCGCACCCGGTCATGAGTTGATCGTTTTAAACTGTTTTGTTTTTAAGTAAAAATCTAACATAGTATAATATTTTTCCATATCAAATGGAGTTTTTAAAAATAAATGAGCAGATATTTTGTGATTAGCAGATTGGTTGAAAGAGGAAGTAGCTGAAGGCCATAAAAAAACAGGAAAATATATTCATTCCAGATATTGAACAATAAGAGTATAAGTTAGAATAGTTCCTCTCTATTTCACTAGGAATATGTACATATAAATTGTACATATATATGAATTATATATCATTCTAAAAGTTTAATGATAGCTAGTAGCCTAACAGAGATTTTATATATGTATGTATATGCATATGTATACAGTCATATGTATATATACACATATATATTCTGTGTGTGTGTGTGTGTGTGCGTGTGTGTATGTATATATAATTAGAAAATATTGTGCCACTGCTTCTGGGAGAAATACAGGGTTAATTTTCCTGTGAGCTGCTGGTGACGTTTTCATTTACTGATCAACAAATAACTTTGTTTTATGTGTGTTTCTTTTAAAATAGACCTTATTTCATGTCCATTTTTCACAACTAATCAATTATATGCAGTGTTCCTGTATAATGGTAAATCACCAGCCTTTTTTTCTAACATTTCCCTGACCCTGGGTCACATGACCTACAACTTCTTTGGCTTTCAGCCTTACAACAATGCTGTCCACTGAGCTTACTTATTGGTCATTATCTTATGAACCCACAAATTTAACCTCTTTCTATCTTTCCAATAGACTCATCACTCACTGCAGATGTTACTTTAAGACATTCTGGAGCAGCGTCATGTGCAGGTCAGTGAGTTTCCTGTTGCTTTTTTTGGGTGTATCACTGGTATCGATTCATCAACGTTGAATTCATGGCCAACAGCACCATTAACTAGTGACTGAATGGAGCTAATCTAACACATGCATTTTCTCCATAAGACACATCACAGTCTTGTGCTTCCTATCCTGGGCAGCACTTCACCCTTATGCTTGGGAGTAATTTTAAACAGCAAAATCACTAACAAAAAGCACAAAAATGGAAAAACATGACATTAAATATACCGTGAAAAGGACACTTGTTTATCCTATGAGAGCTGAGACGAGAAAGCGCGCTGTTACCTTGTGTGAACTCAGTTGGGAAAGTGTACTTAGAGCACTCACATTTTTTGCCACTCTGCACATGTCCTCAGATGACTTTTAGTCATTAGTAGTGTGATATTGATCTTGGGGTTAGAAATAAACTTTAGTGAGTAGCAAAGTGGCAAATATGGAATCCACAAACAATGAAGCTTGGCCATATATAAAATAAATATGGGCTGAGACATTTAACTTGGTAACATTGCCGAGTTCCTATTATGCCTGAACACCCGCTTAGGGGTTAAGTTTCTACAATTTTTAGAGAAACGTTTTCATTGTCAATATCAAGGCATCATCAGAATTGTCTTCAGTTATTTATTATTTTGTATTTTGTCATTCTTGCTGTTGATTTGTGAATGTCAGTTAAATTAATTGTATCTTTGGAGACCCAATTTGTTGTGAATGATTTGGCAAACCACTTTATTACAGTGATGTGTTAGTAAAGAATGTTTTTACTGTAATTTGCCAGTTACTGGGCTTTAAGACATTTATTTATTATGATTTAAAAATGAATAATCCCATTTTTGTATGTAGTAACAATTTATTAGTTATGTGCTTTCTGGAAGTATGCTATTTTAAGAACTAGCAAGTTACTTATCAATGCAATTATATAAAATTCATGAGATGTAGAACATTATTTCAAAGTATACAATTAAATTCACATAGTCAACCGTTTATTTGTTACAAGCAATTTGCTTATTGCATGCGACTTTGTTTCTTTCTAATTTATGACAGTCCCTAGTTTGCTTCAGCATAATTTGAGAAAAAAGGAATAAATGCATAGTACAGCATGTAAACTGTCTTATAGCTAATGGGATTACCACTAGATTCTTGATATGCATTTAGCCAATAAATTATCATTACCTTAAATTTTAAACTAGTCAGTATTCTCAAAAACATTGATCTGTCTTTAATGTCGGCATGAACGTATGTGCTCAATAACACATTACAAAATCAGAGAAAGCCATTTTATTTACAAATGTAGAAAAATAGAAAAAACGGAGAAGTGTATGTGAGAAAGAATAAGAAAACTTGAAAGAATGATTGCCTTTCATTATATATTGAGCATATGCTTACAGAATAAACACTATGGACTGTGCACCATTCTAAATACTTTAGAAATATTATCCACTTAATATTCATAGTGGCCATTATGCAGTGGGCCAATATTATGGTCGTTTTACAGATCAGTATATTGAGTACTGAAATTGTAGCTAACTGTGCTAACATCACAGACTAGTAAGTGGTAGAGTCAGGTTTCATACTCTGGGCAATGTACCTGCAGGATCTGTTATTAAACTTTATGTTAGGCTTCCAGTTACCATTGTCTCTTCAGGTTTTTATTTATTCTTCATCATTCTCCTATGCGCTTTTGACCTAGGTTTCTCCAGTTTCCAAAAAATATCTATCCAGTTTCTAAGAACTTTTTTAAAGAAAAACAAAACACACACTTTTACTTACCTACAAAGATGCACTACATCTTTCTTGCCAGGAAAAGAGAGGAAAAGTCCAGAACTCACTGGCCATGCATTAGAAGGCGTGGGGGCACGTAATACCATTTAATCATATTAGTGATTTCTTGGTTTTTTTTTATTTGTTTGTTTTGTTTGTTTTGTTTTTTGATATGGAGTTTCACTCTTGTTGCCCAGGCTGGAGTGCAATGGCACGATCTCGGCTCCCTGCAACCTCCGCCTCCCATGTTCAAGCAATTCTCCTGTCTCAGCCTCCCGAGTAGCTGGGATCACAGGCACCTGCCACCACACCTGGCTATTTTTTCTATTTTTAGTAGAAATGGGGTTTCACCATCTTGGCCAGGCTGGTCTTGAACTCCTGACCTCAGGTGATCCACCGGCCTCGGCCTCCCAAAGCATTGGTATTACAGGTGTGAGCCACGATGCCTGGCCATATTATTAATTTCTCATTATAGGCACCTCCAAAAGTAAACAGCATGACTCATTTAGAAATATTTATTTTGATTCCATGTCTTTATTATGAACTCCCATGACACAAGCTTATCTATGTAACAAACCTGCAGATGTACCTTTGAACTTAAAATAAAAATTTTAAAAAGAATAAAAACACAACTATTTTGTACCAGTGTATAAGGAAGACACTTTTCATTACTGTTTCCTAAGTAAAAAAAAATCACTGAAAAAAATCTTACATATATGATTAAGTTGATTATAGCCTGAGTCTAAAATGTTTATTTTTCAAAATCTTGAAATCATTGGCATAATCTTTATCCTATTATTTCAAGGGGAGTTAATTTTAGAATACTTTTTAGGAGAAGGTAGAAAACAGTATGATTCTGAAAAGTAGTCACTAGAAGTTTACATGATTTTCTTCTGAAGAACATATGGGCCATTTTTGTAGAATAAGAAATCTTTTGAACAACTTGTTTTATTTCTTATTACAATTATATTAGTGTTGGAAAATAGAGTTAACAGTATAGGAAAACAATTGAATTAGTTGCATTATAATACCCTAAGGAAAGGGCCAATTGTAGTTTGTGAAAAACAAAATGTTTTTTCACGTACCGTTTAATAAGCAGCCAGTATGTACACTTAATAAAAATAGTTAGTGTTTCTGAGTGCTGAAGTCAAATACGTGTTAAAGGAATTTAAAATCTACTACCTTTTCTTTATCCATAATGAACGTAAGTAGAAAATGCATTCTATGATACATAAAATTGTCAGCATATTTGTGCATTAATTCAGTATATCTAATGCTAAAAATTACTTTTATCTAAATGGTTCATGGACACACACCAAAAGGCTCTTACCACCTGAAAGCAGTTCGGAATACAAATTACAAATCAACTTTGTCGCTGCCATTCATAATCCAAATTACTTGTCCAAAGACACAAGGATAAATAACCACTCAGTTCCATTTCTTCCCCTATCTCTTTAATTTCCAGCTTAGAATACAGATTTACTACAGAAAGGAATGGGCAACTTCAAAACTAGCTTAAGGTGAATCGTACAACCCTGGTAAAATAATAACCTCATTTTCACTATTTTCATTATTTTTTACTTTTAACTCCTGAATTAAACAAAAAATTATTTAAATTTATTTACTCAAACTTCAATTTAGTTATTTCAAACACTCAAAACTCCTACATTTCTGTTCACTTTCCTCTCCACCTCAACTCCTGTCATCACTTGGTGTGCAGAAATGTTCACACAGCAGGTGCTTCGGCAACAAATATTCTCACTCCCTGACCATCTCATGAAGTGATCAAAGAAATGATTTGCCTTCAAGTAACCAAAACCTATTTGATGTAGTTTAAGAGAAAAGTGAACTACAGAGATGACAAAAATGATTTGCTTATGATGATCACTCATATCACCTTCACAATGTGATAGACATTAGGGTCTACTGAATAATTTAATTGGAAAATGTTTAGAAAAAGTTTTTGAGCAATTAAAGCATTAACCTTTTATTCATTTTTTTTTCCATTCAATTTGTAATTTCCTTTTTTGGGAACTATTTTTCTTTGAACATGTGTGTTATTTGTTCTGACCTATTAATCATCCCCTCTTAGAATGATGTGCAAGCCTTGGAGGTTTTTATTATTTTTTTCCACTATTGCAGTTCAAATGGCCTTAGTTATAGCTTTTGGCATATGCTCCCTTTTCCCAGTGATTTTTAATTTGCTCCATGTTGGAATCAACTGGTAAGACATTTCAAAATCTCAGTATCTAGGCTCTACTGGATACGCTTAAACCAGAATCTCCATTGGCTGGAATGGAGAGGTGAGGTCCAATAGAAATAAACATCATTTTGTTGTTGTTGTGATTGTATTTTTTGTTTGTTGGTTTTGAACTACCCTGAGTCCTCCACTATGCAGAAAAATTTTAAATTCCATTCTCTGTGTCATCACAATCCTATAAGCAATTTAGGGCAAATAGTCTCTCTCTCAAAAAACAAGCACCATCAAGAAAGCAGGTTATCACTGCTCCACTGGGCCTGGAGGAAACCTTTCTATATCCCAGTCTTCAGAGCCCAGGAGGAATAAGAACACCCTTTCAGTGCTTCTGCTGTTGTTTGTTGTTTCGTTTTGGTATTTTTGAGATATAGGAGATTGGGCATCTTAATACAGGGCCAATATACTCATTTACTTAAGCACACTGATCTCTTCTAGCGAGTATCTTACAAAATCCTGTCCATGTTGCCATTTTCCCAGAATCAATTTCTATTATGATGTTTAATATCTGAAGTTAATTTTGAACATTTTAAAAACATGAAATAACATATTTTCTTCAAAAGTATATTGCTCAAAAATTCAGTGTAAAAATACAAATAATGTACTTGATAAAAATAGATGTTTTAAAGATAATTAAGCCCAATTTGATAATCTCTAGGCCAATTATATTCTTTAGAGTGGAAGATTCCATGGCTTCCTATAGCATGTAAAGTTTCTTCCAGAAAATGTTAATTCTTGGATCTGTGATGTTTTCTTATTAAGGTTTATGAAACTTAGTTTGTACAGGTAATTAATGTAAAATATCTTGGGTATTTTCTGGTTAACTGATAAAATAGTTTATTATTTTTTAATTTTTAAAACTTTAATTGACAGGTAATAATTGTATACATGTATGGAGTAAAAGGAGATGTTTTGATATAGATATGCATTGTGGAGTGAATAAATGAAGCTAACATATCTATTACTTCATATACTTATTTTTTTATGGTGATAACATTTAAATTTTTTTAAGCAAATTTGAAATATAAATTACATTATTATTAACTATAGTCTCTATGATATCAATAGATCTTCTAATTCCTCTTGTTTAATTTAAACTCTGTACCCTTTAACCAGTATTTCCTTTTCTCCTCACCCTCTCCCCCACAGTCTCTGGCAACCATTATTCTACTCAGTACTTCTGAATTTGAATTCTTTAGATTACACATATAAGTGAGATCATGAAGTATTTGTGCTTCTTTGACTGGAATATTTTACTGTTCCAGTAAGTGTTCCCCATGTTCATTCATGTTGTCATAAATGTCAGAATTTTCTTCTTTTTAAAGGCTGTATACCATTCTATTGTGTATATATACCACATTTTCTTTATATTTTTATTTGTTGATGGACACCTAGGTTGATTCCACATTTTAGCTATTATGAATAATGCTGCAATGAACGTTGAAATACACACATGTCTTTGACATACTGATTTCAAATACTTTGGATAAATACACAGAAGTGGGATTCCTGGAGCCTCTATTAATTCTATTTTCAGTTTTTTATGGAACATGAATATTGTTTTCTAATTTGCATTTCCACCAACAAAGTACAAGAGTTTCTTTTTCTTGACATCCTCAAGAACACTTGTTATCTTTTGTCTTTTTTGTAATAGCCATCCTAACAGGCATGAGGTGATACCACATTGTAGTTTTAATTTGCATTTCTCTGATGATTTGTAAGTATACATGTTAATGATCACTTATGATTTTATCTCGATGGAAAATTCTGAAGTTCAAAAGCCTTTGTAAAGCATCAATATGTGCCTAATACATTAATACTATAATGGCTAAAAATAGCTAACTCAATGAAGCAAAAAAATATATCTAGTTAATCTTAATGTATAGGAAAAAAGAGGAGTACTTACCAGAGTGATTGAAAGGAAATGATCAGATTTAAACTTGTGTCTAATTAGTGTTGGACAACTCTTAGTGATTACTGTTTAATAACTAGATATTAAACAGTAATGTGAGAATTAGAAAAAAATATTTTAGTTGATAAAGTTTCTACTTAAAATGTATACTTTTAATTACATTCTAAATAAATGGAATCCATTGTTAAAACTGAACTCTAATATTGATTGGGTTGCAATTCCCAATGTTTGTTTCAAAACAAAATCTGTTGAATAAGTTTCTTTTCCCTTTAAAGCTATTTGAGTGGCTTATCAAAACTAATTGACAATAATTTAATTAGTAACTAGTGAATAAACTTTATATCTAATTTATTAAAATATTAAACCTAAAAATTAGGTAAACCCCTTCTACTTTAGTTGATGGGATTTTCAAATCTTTGAGTTAAGGTAGAAATAGTTGAAAAACCTTGAATCTATAATTTTGGAACAGGACTCCTACTCTTATAATTGGTCAGTATATTACTTGGAAAAAAATATTGTTTTTATTGACTACTTTTCTTAGGATAATTTATGTATTTCAGAGCTAATTTGCAGTAGCGAATTGTTTGAACTTTAAGAGATCATTGATTTTTATTTTATATTATGTTACTCATTAGACCTAATTGATAAAAACAATGATATAGTTTCTGTTTGTAAATCAAAGAGATTATTTTCATAATTTTTATTCAAATCAGTATTATTTAGTTTTTATATCTAAATATGTATTGTTTGTAGCAACGGTCCCCAACCTTTTTGGTACCAGAGAGCAGTTTCATGGAAGAAAATTTTTTCATGGACCAGGGGTGGGGGAATTGTTATGGGATGATTCAAATACATTTATTGTGCACTTTATTTCTATTATTACATTGTAATACACAATGAAATGAATATACAACTTACCATAATGTAGAATCAGTAAGAGCTCTGAGATTGTTTTCCTGCAACTGTACAGTCCTATCTGGGGGTGATGGGAGACACTGACATGGCATGTCCAGTTCACAATAGGGTTCATGCTCTTATGAGAATCTAATGTTGCTGCTGATTTGACAGGACATAGAGCTCAGGTAGTAATGCAAGTGATAAGGATTGGCTGTAAACACAGATGAAGCTTTGTTGGCTTTATGGTTCACGGCCCAAGGGTTGGGGACTCCTGGTTTATGGAATAATGGACTATCTATACTGCTATTTCTTAGAAAATATAATAGCTTCATACCTTTGGTAAGCTATTAGCCAATAAATGCAGGAAACATACTAACAAAACAGCTTATATATTTTGGGATCAGCATTATAGGTATATTACACATTATTTAAACTTTGTAATTTTACCAAAGGATATTAGGTGACTATCATAATATACAAATTACTATTGTAGTTGATAGTGAAATTATTTTATTGAAGTTCAATATGTATGCCATGCAACTGGAAGACTAAAGATTTTCATTTTTATCTGTTTGGCTGCTGAACATAGCTCAAGGACCAATAGATGCTAAATTGTAGCAGTTCTTATCTTCAATTTAGTAATATGTCAATATTTACATAAATACATGCAAAGGAAAATATGTAAATGCCAGAATATATACAGATGATAACTTAGGGCAATGTGCCATTTATAAAATAATTTCGTCTTTAGTGATTTTTGACATATTCATATACTTTAAATAAAATAAAGTACATTTATATGATTGTTACACATGTGGGGAATTATCAGCAGAGAATATCAGTGTGATTAGATTTGCACCTTAGATGTATTATCTTAGTGGGAGTGTAAGAGAAGGCCTGGAGGCTTGGAAAACTGGAGAAAAGACCATCTATTTAATGACTGCTCTATGTTTCTGGCAAGACAGTAGCAAGACACAATAAAATATGAACAATTGGCCTAGGAAGAAACAGAGAAATTTGCAATTATATTTATATGTTTCAACATATATTTGAGTCAACAATATTTGAGTTTTCAAGTAAAAGAGAGTAAATGTGAATTGATTAAGTTACTCTATTGACTGGGAGGGGATTCAGCATTGGATGTAATGAATTCATGGGTGTACCTACTATATAAAGTATTAAAGTATTTCCCATGATTTCTCAGCTGCTTCAATATTTTGATATTTGTATTCCAATAGAATAATTAAAAATATCTTAGGTAATTTCTGTTGCTCAAGTGGATGGGTCATTTTATTATACACAGATTAATGATTCAATTCTGATGAAGGGCAAATGAAAGATAAAATTTGCATGTACAATGAAATAATTACTTTGGCTGCCAAATTTTATGATCTTAAGTGGAAATATTCTTATAAAAATTCTCCTGAAGTTTTGCTAATAATTTTTTTCATACCTTTTTTTCATACCAAAGATCCTAGTTCAACAAGGTATTTTCAACTTCCTCCTAAGCCTGGTTATTATCTGCTAATCTTTTCCTAAATTAGATATCTGAACCAATTCACTTGCTTGTCTCTTATCATACTATCTGAAAACCAGTTCACACAAATCATTACCTAATAAGCTTGAGAAAGGACTCATTGTAAAACTTTCTCTTAGAGATTTACCTTATACAGTAGCATGTTAGATTGATGAGGGATTTTGTTTCAATTTTCATAAATTATAAAAGTCTTAAGTTGATACATTAATACATGTTTAAATGTGCATATCCTTCTGTAACCAATACTGAACAAAAATATAGAAATGTACTCAACACTAGAAAGTTCCTTATCCCTCCAATTAGTTAGTATTACTGCTCCCTCTCTCGGCATAAGGTTAGCGACCATTCTGTCTTTTGTAATCTTTGATTAATTTTACTTGTTTTGAAATCCATATAAATAAAATCATATGGTTTTCCTTCTTTTGTATCTGATTCTTTTGATTAATATTAAGAATAGGAGATTCATCCACACTGTGGCAATGAATTTTCCCATTCTAAGGTTTCTTATGGACATTTGATCTGGTTTAAACTTTGGCTATTAAGAAAAATATTTATATGAAAATTTATGCAATTTTGGTGAACATATGCACTAGTTTCTTTTGAGCATATGCTCAGGAGTGTGATTGATGGGTCACAAGCTATAGATTTGCCTCGATTTGGTGAGTTCTGCATTCGATCTATAGATTAATTTGGAAAGAATTAAAATTTTACCAGTGTTGAGATTTCCTACACATGTAAATGTATATCACTCTGTTTAGGACTTTTTTTCATTAAAATTTGCAATCTTCAATCGAGAGGTCCTACAAACTTTTGTTATATTTATTCTATGCGTTTTACATTTTTATGCTATTGTATGCAACATTATTTTATAATTTGATTTTCAACTTGATCTTTCTAGTGTCTAGAAATACAATTGATATTTATATATTGGCCTGTATTCTTGTGCCTTGATAAATTTACTTATGTGTACAAAACAAGGCTAACAATTGATGTAGTGAACCACAGAATCAAGCCCAGATGTCTGACAAAACGAAACATGAAATTTGAAAAACCCGAACCACATTATGGAAAAAGTAGTATCTATGGAAAACAAATAAGACTAATCTGTGACTAGCGTACATTTCAGAACGCATTCCAGCAGGAGCTTAATAGAGAACAAAACGGAAGCCAAAATTAAAATAAAATATGTGAAAACTTGAAGAGAAACACTATCCTCAAATTAAATCCACCAAATGGGCTTAGTAGGAATGACAAAATATCTTTCAAAACGATTTCTACTGTTATTTTAGTGTTGAATTAAAATTCTGAAAACCTTTAAAAGAATTATAAAATTATACAATATATACCATAATTAAATTTGCTTCACATTTTATGCAACACTCAATACTAAAACGAGAAATGTCTTCAAATCTCTAGGAGAAAATAGTATCATCTCAGCCTTCTATGAAATCAAGGCAATATGTGAGTATTATTTTAAAATATTTTTCTCAAAATACTATACAGAAAAATGCATACAAGAATGATGAACTCTTACTATTCTAAGCAATTATATGAAGTAGATTTGGGGAAGAGGGAAGAGAATGTCAAGACATAACTACTACCATAAAGAAAGAAATGGGATGACTAGAAGTACATAAGTGGCATTCGGTTGCCTTCCATCCTAAGAACCAAGGTGCTGAATAAAAATAGACTTACCATCAGGAGGCCATTAATAAGGATTCTTAATTACTAATACTCAGTTGATTGCAGTTGGATATCCAGTGACCAAGAGACCCTGCACAGCTAACCTCCCAGTCTCTGATCAATAAAATTCCGATAGAGGAATTAGAAGGAAAGCAGAGCAAGATGGCCATATAAAACTCTCCACAGATTGTCCTTCCCATAAGAACAATACATTTAACAACTATCTATACAAAAACCACCTTCCTAATAACTAAAACTCAGGTGAGCTATCAGAGTGTGTGGTTTTAATATTATATCACAGAAAGAGGCAATGAAGAAGATAAAAAAAAGACAGTCTTTACAAGCCAATGCCATTCCATTCCCATTCCCCAGCAGCCATGTGGTACAAACAGAATCTGTGTGTTTCGTGGAGGGAGAGTGAAGTGACTGTGGGACTCTGTATTGGAACCCAGAGCTGCCCTGACCCCAGTGGAAAGCAACAGCAGGCAAAACTCAATTGATGCCCATGGAGGCAGCATATAGACCAGCCCCAGACAAAAGAGAATTGTCAATTCCAGTGGTCAGAATAAGAGTTTCAGCAAGGCTTGACACCATGGGCCAAAGTGCTCTGAAGTTCTGAACAAACCTGAAAGGCAGTCTAGGTCACAAGTCTCAGTGCTGTGATAGGCTTAGAGCCAGTAAACTTAGGGGGCTCACAACCTAAGGAAACACCAGCTATGCCATCCGTAGGGGTGCTTGTGCCACCTCTTCTTCAGCCCCAGGCTGTGCAGCATGCAGTACCGAAAAAGATTGCTTCATTTCACTTGAGGAGAGGAGAGGGAAGAGTGAAGATGACTTTGTCTTGCAACTTGGATACCAGCTGAACCACCATAGAATCGGGAATCAGGAAGTGTCCTTAGGCATCTATTTCAGACACCAACTCCCAGATGACATTTCTAGAAGTGCCCTGGGCTAGAATGGAATCCACTGGCTTGAAAGGAAGGGCCCAGTCCTGGCAGAATTTTTCAGCTTCTGACTAAAGAGGCCTTGGGCCCTGAATAATTAGCACCGGTGGCCAGGTAGTACACACCATGGGCCTTGGGTGAGACTCTGAGATGTACTGGTTTCAGGTGTCATCCAGTACATTTGTAGCTGTGGTGGATACAAGGAGTGACTCCTGTTTGCGAAAAGCAGAGGGAAGAGTAAAGTAGGCTTTATATTGCAGCGTACATACCAGCTCAGGCACAGAGGGGTAGAACACTAAGTGAGTTCTTGACATCCCCAATTCCAGGCACTGACACTTGGACAGTGTTTATGGATCTGTCCTGGGCTAGAGGGGAGTCCAATGCCCTGAAGGGTGAGTACCAGGACTGGAAGCATTTATCACAAGCTGACTGAAGAACGCTTGGACCTTGAGTGAAAATCAGCAGTATCTGGCAATACGCTTAATGGGCCTGTGGCGGTGGCCGTGGAGAAAAACTACTGTGCTTGTGTAAAGGGAAGAGAAGAGTTGGAAGGAATTTGGCTTGTGGCTAGGGTGCCTGTTCAGCTATAGTAGAATAAAGTAATAGGTATATTTGTAAGGTTTTCAACTTTAGGCTCTGGCTTCAAGATGGTATCTCTGAACCTGCCCGGGGCCATGGTGAACTCTCCACCCAGAAGGGAAAGGCACAAGCTTGGCTGACTTCACCAGCTGTTGATTGTAGGGCCCTAGACCCCCAAATGAATATAGCCAGGTGATAGCAAGGTAGTAGTTACAGTGGGCCTTGTGTGAGACCCATTGCTATGCAGTCTTCTGGTCTCACCCAGTGCAGTCCCAGTGGTGGCAGCCACAGGGGTGCTTATGACGCCTCCCCCACAGTTCCAGGCAGCTCAGCACAGAGAGATATACTCCATTTCTTTGAGATAAAATAAGGGAAACAAATAAAATTATTACATACCTTCTCCTAAAGCTAACCCACATTGATTTAAGGCACTCTATCTATAATATTCTCCAAATACAAAGTAGAGCAAAATTTCCTTTGCTTCTACCTCCCTCCTCAAGAAAAGAAACAAGTAGATGTATTTGTTTGTACCCCGACATCTGTGTATCCTCAACCACACTGTTTCTACCCTGGTGAGTAGAAATGTTGGATCTTTGGGAAAGGACTTTTGCCTTGTCCTTGCAGCTTTCTCTTCTCCACCAACTCCACCAAGGAAAGACATTCCATTTTTCCTTCTATCCTGATGGGAAAGAACGCTACATCATACCCTTCATTTCCCCTAGTGATATCTGCCTTTTACTTACCTTGAGAAATAATGGCAAAATGGTTACAAGGACAGAAATTTTTGCAACAACAAATTCATTCAGAATCATTTCAAAAATTAAATTACTGTCATTCACAGAAGTAATAACTTAAATGCTTTTCAGAAGCCGATGGGTTTAAAATGATAAGTAAAATGTCAAAAGGGCAATTGGAAGTAGCTTACACAGCTTTATAGGGTCACCCTTTTTTCATTCTCTTTACACTTTTCTATTTTGATTTCTATTTTATAATGTTAACTTCTTGTTACTTCTGGGTATCCCAGATTAATCATTGAGATTAAGACTCTGAAGGCTAGTGTAGTAAAATACTGCAGACCAAATAAAGGTGTCATAGTGACACAGTAAAATATAATATAAAAGTGAGTTATATTCAAAATAATGAAATTGTTTCATGCATATGATAAAATATATGATGATGAATCAAATGACATGAAGTATTTTTTTCCTAAAAATGTTATTAAGACATTAGGTAATGGAGAAAGAAGCAATAAGATAATAATAGTATGACCTCAGTTAAAATATTTGTAGAAAAATCAGTTGAAATTCTCATACTTTACTCACTTTCCAAAATAAGTTTTTAAAATTAAATGATAATGTAAATATTAAAGCAAATTCACACAGTACTTATATACTATCTGCATAGAAGGGGGTTTCTAAGCACAAGGTAATAAAAGGAAATAAACAATGATTTGAGAACTAATGAAAATATATTTTATATCAAAGGAATCATAACCAAAATCAAAGCAAAATTACAAGTTAAGAAAAATGTGTAGGCTACATTCTCATCTATATATCTGAAAGTAAAACATTATATCTCCCAACAGAAAAATCAGCAAATTTTATGAACCCAGAGATCTAAAACAAATGCCGAATTAACATATTTAAAATGTAAAACTTCAGCAGTAATTATAGACAGTATTATTGGAGAGATAGTAAAATAATACTGAAAATATGAGAAAAGAGATAACTTTGAATATTAAACAAAAATATTAAAGATAGTATTCCCAGGAGTTATATTGTAAAGAAACAGTTGAACCTCATCTGTATTGAAGGCATTTACATGCAAAAAGAGAAAAATATGTTAAGTCAAAAAAGTGGCTACATAACAATTAGAACAAAGACAGAAATTTATAAAGGCCAATTTTAGCAGTGTCAACACAACTTCTACCAAGAATAGAGTGATGCCCTCTATACTTGGTATGTTTATGTCTTTTGCTAAGCTGAAGTTAGAAAAATATCAGAAATATTGCCAATAAAAGAGGAATACGTTAAACCCTATTAACCTGAATCCCTACTTAATATTCAATTTACATTTAATTAGATGACCTGTGTAGTATGTCTATGTAAAAAAATAGTGGCTTGAGCTGGCACTACTCTACAGTATATTTTGGTTCTGGCAAGTGATTAAATTGGAATTCTCGAAAGGAGTGTCCTTGTAAGATGTATTAGCATATTAGAATCCCATGTGTAAGAAAGTCTGACTCTACCACGATTGATCTTCTGAGTGAGTAGCTGAGGGTTTAACATAGTTTAAGGTTGATTTACCAAGACAAATATACTCTCGGAAGAACTGGTTAGTATGCTCACCCAATCACCTCTCCTTCCTTTGGATACTTTTCTTAAAGTATCCATGGCTGGATGCCATGCTCCTCAAGAAACTACATAATAAGGGAATAATTTAAAAAAAAACTATTTGCTCTCTCTCTCTCTCTCTCTCTCTCTCTCTCTCTCTCTCTCTCTCTCTCTCTCTCTCTCTCTCTCTCTATATATATATATATATATATATATATATATATACTCTCAACTGTATTCATAACAAAATAAGAAGAAAATATTCATGGTAATTACAATCCCCAAGGGTCACGAGGTCATAAATGATATTTATAGCTAACTTATTCTACTACCCATTCTGTATTCCCTTTGCCTTCATCAAGAACTTTAGCTGTTTATTGTTCTTTACCTGGTGGAGTGACCAAAATTTTAATCCTGAAGGATCTATGCCATAAGTAGTTCTCCCCAGATTGAGTTGTAATTTTCTATTGATTTCAATCACAGAATATAATAAAACTAAGAGATACTGTGAGAGATCACTCATATTCTAGACCTACTCTTCCTTACCTCTCTGATGGAATAGCCCAGTTTCCCCTTGGTAGCCCTCATCAGTTGCCCCAGCCAACCCCATAACTCCTTTCTTCGCCTGTTGATTCAGAATTAGTAGCCCAAAGTGGCCAGGTTGACAGGCTTAACTTTCAGTTCAATGGAATTATTGCTGTGTCTCCTGGTACAAGCATTCCTCTCTATGAACTTGATTACCTACATGCCAGCAGAGCATAAAGTTACAAAACAGGAAGCAACAATTTTGCTACTGAGTCACTATGGGAATGTCAAGTGGTACCACTCTTATTTCCACCCCATGATTCCTGAACCCATAAATCCTGAGTATCAGAGAAAAAGTACTATATATTGGATATGATTGAAAGCATATACAACTTTCTGGAGAAGCTAGTCCTGGCCCTGCAAGGCACTGCCACCTAGCTGGTGCTGAAACTGGGTCTTCAAAAACATCTTAGCCAGGTGTGGTGGCTCGCACCTGTAATCCCAGCACTTCGGGAGGCCGAAGCAGGCAGATAATTGGAGCTCAGAAGTTTGAGACCAGCCTGGGCAATGTGGCGAAACTCTGTCTCTACAAAAAGTACAAAAAAGTAGCCAGGTGTGGTGGCACGCACATGTAGTCCCACATACTCAGGAAGCTGAGGTGGGAGGAAGGCTTGAGTCCAGGAGGCAGAGGTTTCAGTGAGCTGAGATGGTGCCACTGCACTCCAGCCTGGGCAATAGAGCCAGACCTTGTCCCAAAACAAAACAAACAAAAACAAAACAAACAAAATAGACATCTAACTGTTCTATCAAGCTAATTGCTTAAGGATGATGGGGAATGTGATAAGACCAGTGAATTTCACAAGCATAGGCCCATTGCCATAATTCTCTGGCTATTAAATGAGTTATTTGGTCAGAATGCTGCATGTAATACTACAGGAGTAGAGCAGGCATTCTGGTCATAAGTCCACAGACGATAGTTCTGGCAGAACCATAGCATGCACGGAAGATAAATCCAACCAGAGTAAGTATCAATTCCATTATGGACAAAACACTGTCCCTTACATGATGGAAGCATTCCAATGTAATCAATCTGCTGCCAGGTAGATGGCTGATCACCCCCAAGGGATAGTGATATATTGAGCATTCAGTGTTGGACTCTGCTACAGACTGGGCACTCAGCAGTGGCCATAGGCAGGTCAGTCTTGGTGAGTGGAAGTCCATGTTGCTGAGCCGTAACCTTAATCCCTGACACCATGGCTACTTTGTTCATGAGCCCATTGGGGAATGATAGGATTGAGTATGGAAAAAAGCAGAATGGAATCCCCCAAAGGGTCATGCTATTCACTTGATTATTAAAATCCTCCTTTTTCTGAGATCAGTCTTTGGTGAGCATTTACATGAAACACAAATATCTTTATATATTTTGTCCATTTAGAGAGGTCAATCCTCATACCTATTCCACTATTTTTTTTTGTTATTAATTTTTCACTCATGGTTGTTCTAAGTCTTTCACCATCTGGCCAAACCATTAGCTACAGTCCACGAATCAGTACAATCATCTCTTGATAACCGTGGAGGATTGGTTCCAGGACCTCCTGCAGATACCAAAATCCATGGATAACCTAGTTTCAGATATAAAATAATGTAGTATTTGCATATAACCTGTGCACATTGTCCCGTATACTTTAAGTCATCTCTGGATTACTTATGATACTTTATGCAATGTAAATACTATGTAAATAGTTGTTGTACTGTATTGTTTAAAAAAGATAAAAAATCTGTACACATTCATTACAGGTGAAATTCATTTTTTTTTTACATAATTTTGATCTATGGCTGGTTGAATCCACAGATGTGGGGAAGCTAGTGTAGCAGGTGTGAACACCACAGGCATTTGGGCCAATTGTTCTTGTAACTTACTTGGGCCTTCAAGGCCTGCTTGAGCCTGATCATATGTATATACCACTTCCATTTCAGAATAGACTGTTGCAGTGCATGTCCAACTTAATAGATTAGTGGGTCAGATAACACCTACTTTATAATGAGCAGCTTAAGTGTCATGATAATTTGGGGGGCCATGGTCGAGTGCACAGTTTCTATTAAGGCCCAGTAGCAGGCCAAGTTCTGTCTCTCACAAGGTGAGTAGTTATCTGCAAAAGATAGCATACTGTTGATAAAAATCCTAAAGAACTGTGTTATGATTCACCTATGGGCACTTGTCACAGGATAAAAACAGTATTCTTATCTACAACTGATGCTTCAGGCTCCATTGGAACTAATGGATCGTATGGTCCAAGTGGCAGAGCAGCTTGCTCAGCAGCCTGGATCAGTTTTTACAAGCGTTACAGCAGAACTGAGTATATTGATCATAATAAAGGATGGGAAAGAGAATGTTAAAATTCTTGCACAAAACCAACAGCATTGCTGGGAGGAGGAATATTCTGTGTGCAAACCAATTCTAGTTTTCTTCTCCTGCTAGGGTAAAGCCAAAAAGATCTCAACTGCTGAAACCAGGAGCACATTTCAAAGCTATATTGTCCATAGAGGCTGAAATGAAGATGTCTAGCACACTTAATTATTAGACAACACGTGCTTCATACTTTTTATTCCGCTATCATAGTGAAGAAGAATGTTAAAATACATAAATTGCATCTTTTTTAATCATAAAGAGAATTATATGCAAAAATGAATATTTCAACAAATTAAAGTCATAATTTTTTAAAGACCCATTTTATTTATTTATTTTTTCCTTAAAAATATTTATTTCATTAATCTAAAATAATTTTCTTGGTGATTATCATGTCCAGAGGAATATTCTAGTTTGAGCTGCTTATATTTTTTTCAAAATGTAAAAGGAAATCCTCTCTGAGACCATGTCTCTTTCACACTAAAATTCAAATATAAAATTGCTAATAACTTTAATTTGTTAAAGATCTTAATTTCTGAGTTTAAGAACCATCTATCATTTATAACAGGAAATAAAAGAAAATAAAATGGACTCTAATAACATGACTCATGATAATTTTAGCCGTATTCTCCATCAGCAATAACTGTAACCTAATAAATTGACAGTGAATATTTCCTCCTTGAACACAATTAGTAATGACCCTTTTCTTTTATTATGATGCCCAGTTGTCCTCAGATAAGACTGTGAGATTAACTACTGTGGCAAGCCTGCTGAGATTATACAAGTGTGTAGCCTGCTGTTTCAGTTAGCAATGACTTGAGAAAAAAACAATAATTATATATGTATATATGTATATATATAAATATATAATTTGTGCTGGATATATATAGACACACACACATACATATGTATAACCATAGGTTCCTGTGGTTGACTCCTTACACATTTCACTTCAGTTTCAATTTCATGTAGATCTGTATGAGTTTCAAACCAGGTGAAAAATCATATCATTATGGCCCAGCAGGGGCATAATATAATTTCACTGAAGCCCAGCTGGTTTGAAATGCAATGACTGAAAATCAGGTAAGATTTACATATTGGCAGCTTTGGAAATCAAGGCTTTACACACCTCTGATTACATTTAAATTAGAATTCACAGTAAAGGTCACAAGTTGTACCCAATTGTAATGATCTGACTATAACCCTTGAGCTATCTCAAACTTATTGCTCTAGGGCTGGCTTGCCAGTGTCAGGTGCCATCAGTCTCACCAGACAGAGATGAGGGCACAGGGTGGAACTCTGCACACCTCATGCCTAAGTCATGACCACACAACTGTAAGAGTATAACACATTATCCATCACGTCTCCTAAAAAATTCACCCTCAGTATTCTGTAGGATCCTCTTATCAATGGGTTTCACTTTGCACAATTTCAGTTACTCAGAGGTCAGTTGCATTCTGAAAATACTACATGAAAAATTCCAGAAATTAGCAATTCATGTTTTAAATTGTGAGTTGTTCTGAGTTGGGTGATGAAATCTTGCACCACCCTGCTTCATCTTGTCTGAGATGTGACTCATCCCTTTGTCCAGTGTATCCAGGCTGTACACACTCACACTACCTCCTTGTGAGTCACTTAGTAGCAGACTTGGTTATCAAAATGACATAGTATGGTTTGTATAGGGTTTGGTACTATCCACAGTTTCAGGCATCCACTGGGGTTCTAGAAAGGTAAGCCCTGTGGATAAGTGGGGGATGCAATTTATGTCACAGCATTTGATGTCTATATCCTAAGCTTAATGAAGTGTAGTAGCGAGGATATTTCAATTATTTTAATTGTTTACAAGATTATGACTTGTGATCATTGAAACAAATGTCCTTTTCTCTTCCTCCCGTTTTTGTCTCCTGCTTTTCAGATCATAGAAAAATTAGGGTTACTCACCCCTGTTATCCCAGTACTTTGGGAGGCTGAGGCGGGTGGATCACTTGAGAACAGGAGTTCAAGACCAGCCTGGCCAACGTAGCGAAACCCTGTCTCTACTAAAAATACAAAAAATTACCTGTTCATGGTGGTGGATGCCTCCAATCCCAGCTACTCGGGAGAATGAGGCAGGAGAATCTGTTGAACCTGGGAGGCATAGGTTACAGTAAGCCGAGATCACGCCACTGCACTCTATCCTGGGTGACAGAGTGAGACTCCATCTCAGAAAAAAAAAAAAAAAAATTAGGGTGACGTGATTAAATACATATTTAAGATAAATATACACATAATCAATACTCATTTCTATACACTATTACATTTCCATTATATTTACAGGATTACTTATAGCTAAAATTGATTTAATTTGACCTATCTCTCCTTTATTTTGGGAATTAGCTGTAAACACATGTTAATTTTATGGATCTTCTAACAGGCATTTTTTGCTAACTAGGTTTAGATTTCCCTAAAGCATTGAAAATTAAGGCAGGGTAAAGAAAGCTAGAGCCATCACTTCTTATTCACCATTGTTATTCTAAATTTATAAATATCCATTAGAAAAAAAACTAAACCAAGTATTTTTCATCCATTTTATAATATATTCTACCACACGAACTATATAAAACAGTTAAGAAAACGTTCTTTTATACCTAAAAAAGTCAAATTATCTAATTAAAATAAAGGTAATATTCAATCTATTTTTCTATCCCTCTTATAACAACAAACAGCTTTAGCCTCTTTCTCAGGTCTTTCTCTGCCTATGTGTCCATCCTTTCATAATCTCCAAATGCTTACATAATTTTTACACAGATTCCTTTTCAAAATTTTTTATAGCAACTTTTCAACTGGTTTCAATTATATGAAGTACGAGTCTTTTTTTAAGAGTCAATGTTTTCTGTAAAAATCTCAATTTCTTTCTCACCTTTACTCTGGATTAAAATCTGCATTCTTAGTATTTTCTTGTCATTTTCTCATTCAACATTAATTTAAGAAATACCTATTCAGGGCCTACCATGTAGCAAGCACAGTTAAAAGTGTTGGGTGGAGATGACCGTGACAAGCTCCTATTCTCAAGAACCTCACAGATGAGAATAATGAGATTGTATGATTAGTAATAAAGATTCAGATCAGACTAATACAGTGAATGCTTATGAATTTATGTTGCCTTAGCATCCATTTCGAATACAGGTTTAACTTTCTCAGACCAAGAGCAGTACAGTTTCAGTTCTACACAGTTTTCAGCTCTACACCCAGCACCAATGGTTCAAGCCTGTGGCCACAGATAAGAAGTTAAAGGAATCTCTCCTGCCTAGAAGCCTGGGCTCCCCACCTTCTCTCTGCTTTCCTTAAAATGACCATTCTGGCATTTGCCTGTGAATTTAAGGTGACTCACGCCTTTTTCTCATATACGCTGTTAATTGCCAGAACTTTTTTACCTCCCTTTCTTCCTGCCTGCCGTGTGTTCCCTGACCTGTGTGTGGCCTCCAGGCTTGCAGTATATACCCCACGTTCTGTAAGAACTAAAAACTCTTAAACTTTCACAGTGTGGCTCTTGCTGAAACCTTGCCAGCAATCCCACCAGTAGGCTGGCTGCCTGAAGGCACCCCTGCAGGTGGATCTGCTACTAGTGTTTTCTCAGGGCCTCTGAAACTGCTAAGAACAGTAGCTATCAGCTAAGTTGATAGAGAAACTCCATGAAGAGTTTCATTCAAAACAAATCAATAGAATAGTCGATATTCCCCAGCATGAGAGGAAAGAAGTGTGGAATCAGGCTTCATACTGAAGGTAATTCTAGCCTTGAATTGAAAAAAGACTCTTGCTTTCAAGGGCAACATTCTTATCTGCAAAAATGAACTGTGTTTTACACTGGAATCTCTGTGTGACCAGTTTTTTCCTAATTAACTTATTCAGGTCCTTGCTCTTTCCAAGAAAATGTCAGCATTTTAAAATTTGACATTTTAAAAGACCCAGAGTGTTTTGACATCAAGTTAAATATAAGTTAATTTAAATTAGTTCACAAAATGTCACAAAGTGAGACAAAAGAATCCACTTTTTTCTCCAAAGTCACAACAAATTGTTTAATAAAGAAGAATAAATAAATAATTATGTGTAACAGATTGCCAGTCACTGTCTTTCATTTCCTTAAGAAGAATGGAGCAGACTAATTCTGCTAGAATTTCCTGATGTATTAGATCAGTATATATATTTTTTAAAATTTTTGGAATGTGACATGCAATAACTATTTTTCACTTTTATCTTGAAAAGTCATGTCAAATCTCAAAAGAAACACATGAACAACAGTAACAACAAAAAGCTATCTTAAAATTAGCCTCAATCTTGAAAGAAAAAGATTGGAAGGTCATAATGTCACAACAATGAGTGGTTTTATAAATTGAATAAATTTATCTTTATGACAAACTCATTATATTTTTCTTATTTTACTTTAGTCATGTGAAAGTATATTCCAAACCCAGAACCTGAGCACAGATTGGGACTGAGAAACACTTGTCTAGATTGTCAGGCAATCTGTAACATCAGCAGTGGATGGAAAGAAGGAGAAAGATGAGTTTTATGGACGCTAACCCATCTATATGGCTTTGGAAAATAAAGTACTGCTGTTTTTTTTTGTAAAGGATTTTTATTTTTTATCTTTACATACATCTCCCATTAAAAGGTTAAGACATTAGGGTTTTCTATTTATAACTTGACTTTTGTATATGCAAACACTGTTTTGGAAGATCTTGATGATAAACTCAGCAGATATGAACCGGTCTGGTACTACATGGTAGTATAAGGTATCTGATTTCCATCAGGGTATGATTACAATGTATACTTTATATCTAGAATTAATCTAATCTAATGTTTCTCCATTTTTTTTTCACAGACTCACATATATTTCACTTATTTATACTTCACAATATTTCAGCATTCTTTTGGGATTGTCTTTATTTGAGATTGGGTTTCCCACCACTTCTTTGAAAACTTCAGATGTATTATGCCTCTTAATAAGAAATCTGACATGATAAAATGACATAAATAACAGAGATAAAATCAGATGTATCTTAGTCATTGCTGAACTTTCAGTAAGCACAATTGTGACCAAGCCGAAAAGATACAGTAAAGTGCATTAATAAAAAATATGGGTCTTTTGTCCTACCATTATTCTCAACATATTCCATAATTTAACACAGTGGCTTAGGTGATGCCTTCATGCAAATTTATCATAGCATGGGTCATGAAGAGTGACTGACAAAGTAGTATTTCACAGACACGTCCATTGACTGTGATAAATACGACCTCTACATTAGAAATTCATATAACACAGTGAAATTTAGAAAACGATGATGTTGTTAGACAAGCCAAGCCCATGAAATCATAAAACATGAATAGTCTTTCATAATTAAAGCCGTTATATTCATGTCTACTGGACAAAGCAACACATAAGCTATAAAGGTCATCATTATCTCTCAATTTAAAAAATAAAATAAAAACCAAAGTTAAGATTCAGTATCACTCTCATTGAGCACAGTTGCTAACTCTCTGACTACAGAACTTACTCTGTGTTCCCTTCTGCTATTGTTCTGTGACTATTTTTTAATCACTTTTCTTTCATAAGCAATTTTTCCTGTTCCCCTTCACTCTCTCTTCTTAATCCACAACTCCACCCAGCAGGCCCTGAATAACTTTGGAAGTAAACACACCCTGTAAAAGATTGTCCTTTTTTTTTTTTTGGTTGCTTACAGTTGCATTACATTTACAGTTATGCACCACATGATGTTTCAGTCAACAATGACACACATTTACTATAGCGGTTTCATAAAATTATAATGGGGCTGCAAAATTTCTATCGCCTGGTGACATCGTGGTCATTGTAATGTTATAGTGCAACATATTACTCATGTCTGTGGTGATGCTGGTGTACACAAACCTACCGTGTTTTCAGTTGTATAAAAGTATAGCACACACAATTTCGTATAGTATATAATACTTGATATGCTAATAAATGACTATGTTACCTATTTATATATTTATTCTATGGTACTTTTTATCACTACTTTAGAGTGTAGTCTTTCTACTTAAATATTTTTTTAAAAGTTAACTGTAAAACAGCCTCAGGCAGTCACTCAGAAGGTATTTCACAAAAAGGCATTTTTATCATGGGAGATAACAGCTCCATGAATCTTACTGCCTCTGAAGACTTTTCACTGGGACAAGATGCAAAAGTGAAAGAGGTGATATTGATGATCCTGACCCTGTGTTGGCCTATGATAATGTGTGTGTTTGTGTCTTAGCTTTTAACAAAAAAGTTTAAATAGTACAAACAAATTTAAAAATAGAAAAATGCTTATAGAATAAGGATATAAAGAAAGAAAACATTTTTGTACAGTTGTATGTACAATGTGTGTTTTAAGCTGTGTTATTACAAAAGAGACAAAGGGTCAAAAAATTAAAAGTTTATAAAGTACAAAGCTACAATAAGTGAAAGTTAATTTGATACTAAATAAATACTTTTTAAAATAAATGTAATGTAGTCAAAGTGTATAGTGTTTATAAAGCCTACAGTAGTGGACAGTAATATTCTAGGCCTTCACATTCACTCACGTCTCACTCACTGATTCACCCAGAGCAAGTCCTGCAAGATCTTGGTAGAGCACATGGTAAGTGCTCTAGACAGGTTTACCATTTTGTAAATCTTTCATAATGTATTTTTACTGTACCTTTCTATTTTTAGATATGTTTAGATACACAAATACTTACTATTGTGTTATAATTTCTGACAGTGTTCAGTATAGTAACATGCTGCACAGGTTTGTATCCTAGGAGCAAAAGACTATATGATATAGCCTAAGTGTGTAGACTTGATATGGTCTGGATCTGTGTCCTCAGTGAAATCTCATGTCTAATTGTAATCCTCCATGTTGCAGATGGGGCCTGGTGGGAGGTAATTGAATCACGGGGGTGGTTTCTCATGGTTTAACACCATCACCCCTTGGTACTGTATAGTGATAGTTTTCTCATGAGATCTGGTGTATAGCACCTCCTCCTGCCCCTCTTGCTCCTGCTCTGGCCATGTAAGATGTCCCTGCTTTTCTTTTGCCTTCTACCATGAATGTAAGTTTCCTGAGGCCTCCCAAGAAGCAGAAACCACCATGCTTCCTCTACAGCCTGCAGAACCATGAGCCAATTAAACCTCTTTTCTTTACAAACTACCCAGTCTCAGGTATTTCTTGATAGCAGTATGAGAACTGAGTAATACAACATTCTATCATCTTTATTCAATGACAAAATTATCTAACAATGCATTTCTCAAACAATATACCTATCATTAAGGGACACATAGCTGCATTATCATAAAGGCACTGAATATAAAATGATAATGATATTTGAGAATGTAAACAACAGCCTGGAATCTCATCATTATTTGTTTAAAGAAACTTTTCTTTGATTTCCTAGTTATGCATATGAACTTTTCTTCAGAAACAAAACTATGATGCAAAAATGTATTATTATGCAATTCATTGGCCCTGTTCAAGATGAAACAAATTGTCAGGTCTTGGTATCAGATGGTTTATTCAATTCAGAGAACAGGTTTGGGCACACAGAGACATCTACTGTCTGGCAGAGAGGACATATCTATGGAAATGACAGGTTGCAAACCTTTTAGGAACATTAAAAGTTACAATTAAAAATAAATAGAAGGCAAAGAACTGTTAGCATTTTTTCTAGTACGATTCCTAGGTGACTCCCTGGAAATCAACTGAGGTGCTTTTATATAGCAGATTCCTGGGTCCCACTCAACACCTGTAGAATCAGGGAAACCAGAGGAGATGCTTGGGAATATGCATTTATAATAATCTTTTCAGATGTTTCTTGTATACTCTTTAGTCTGAATATTACTAGGTTACAAGAATACTGTAGCTTCCAGTGTGACTATATCCATCAACTTGCAGCACTCCTGCTAGGTTCTGAAGTCCTAACCACAGTACTATTGTAAGATCTGGCTGGTTAGTGAATCTAAGTCATTTGTGGCCATGAGAAATTCACAGGGCTGAGCTTGCAAATTGACAGTATTAATGGCTATACCATGTTAGTAGGTCTCAGCAGGAGTGGAACAGTTCTTAAAGCCTATAAGTGAGAACACATGGTATTCAGTGTTTTGTTTCTGTGTTAGTTTGCTGAGGATAATGGTCTCCAGCTTCATCCATGTCCCTGCACAGGACATGATCTCATTCTTTTTTTATGGCTGCATAGTATTTCAGGGTGTATATGTACCACATTTTCTTTATCCAGACTATCACTAATGGGCATTTAGGTTGATTCTTTGGCTTTGCTATTGTGATTAGTGCTGTAATGAAATGACACATGAACACATAGAGGGAAACAACACATACTGGGCCCTTTCAGAGAGTGAAGGGTGCAAGGAGGGAGAGGATCAGGAAGAAAATCTAATGGGTAATACACTTAATACCTGGGCAATGAAATAATATGTATAACCAACCCCCCTGACAAAACTCTATCTATGCCACAAACTTGCACTTGTACCCCTGAACTTGAAAGTTTAAAAAAGTTCTTAAAGCATTTATCTGATATTTTTAAGTAACAAATATTGTCTCTATATTTTTTATATTGTTATATAATATTGACAACCACAAAACTTGGTTTATATGACACAAATATACAAAGTCCTATTTGTTTTTCTTCACATTTTCTTTTTGAAAAGGATTTGTAGATGTTGCTCTCTTTAAGACAGTCATAGCATGATCTCATTAGGCTTAGGAACAAATAATACATTGAATATCTTATTAACACTGGCTGAAAAATTGTATAGATTTAGAAACGATGTTAGAACTTTTTAAACAAAATACATTTTAGATAAGTTTCATCCTTTCATTCAACTAAATAAAAAATAAATTTTCAATAATAGAACAATTTCCAGAAAATGCCCACACCTTGGAAAATGCACTAGTAACGTTTATTTTAATTTCAAACAAAAAGATCGATTTATCTAAGTCATTTCGCCCTCAAAAGTGTTAGATTGCCTTTCTTCTTTTAAATTCAAGATTTGTGCATATTTAGTACTTTATTGATTGTGCCAGGCTAGTCTTTTTCCTTTTGTAATTTTCTCCCAGCCTATGTTAAAAGCTGTACCTACTCTGCAGTGGCACCTGTGCAATTTTAAAACAGTTCAGAAAATTACTCCCAGCTTTGACTTCTATCCCAATTTCAATTCTCTATATTCGATTGCATTCCCTGGTTTCTTTCCTGTTTCCTTTTACCCTAGTTTTTCCTCCCTCTTTCGGTATTTCTTTTTGTTGACTTCCCATGTAATGGTGTGCCTGGTTTTCAATTTTGTAATGTTTTATTTTCTAAAATGCACTGTATTTCTTATTATTCCTTCACTGTAAGGGTCATGGGTTAATTTCAGCCTCGCACAGCCCAGTATAAGATCAAATCCCAGAGCATTAATGGCCTGTAATCAAGATTTACTTTAAAGATATGACAAAAGACAAGTGGAAAGAGGATATTATAAACTTTGAACTTCCCCCAGCCCTTTGGAAATAAGCTACTTTTCCTTTTGAGACCTGTTAAAATATAAATATTTGCGAAAACAAATTTGTTTCTCTAGCAGAAGAACAGTGTTAAACATGTTTTGTTTTGTAATGTAAATTTTGCAGTGCTTTCTACTTTTTCACAAAGCAGTTGGGCTATCAAGAAATTAGCACACCACTTTTCTTCCTGCACAGATGAATAGGTTGGCAGTGAAATGAAGCCATTTACTGCATTTTACAGTACAGTGAGCTCAACAGCAGCTGCTTAAAAACCAAAAACAAAGTTTTGAAAACAAAGTGACTCTATTTCTTCAATTGAAATGTGGAATTTATATAACAGGAATATTCCTATAGTATTGTTACTAGCTGGTGAAGTTAAATTTTTCATTAGAAGATAGTCATATTTAGCTTCTTTGCAAAGGAAGTTAAACTTTTACAAAAAGCTTTATGCTGATATTTTCTCAGTCGGTATGATTTTACCAGAATTTCTTTCATATATTGCATAGTCTTTAAATATTACTAATATATTTTTATTAAAATATACCCAAAGAATTATAACTAATATAATACATGCTTATTTTATATAAAATATGTTTTTAATGTGTTATGGACATTTTAATGAAGCTGGTAAGAAATTTATTAGGCAAAATTTATGGAATGCCTCCTATGTGTATCGTGGTTTCTCAGATGCTGGTTCATGTGTGATCCTATGAAACTTAAATATTTAAGGAGAGAGAGGAATAAAGGTAAATTAAAAGTCACTGTGCAGCATGATAAATGCTTTGTTAGTGACATATCCAATTAGACATGTAAGCTTAGAAGACATTTGTCTGTGTCTGCCAGGGGATTGAGATTAAGAAATAACCATCTCTGACTTAGCAAAATTAAGCTATGAATTAACGGGTCAAAATGTTTAGAGAAGGATTTTTCCAGAAAATTCTATGGTTGATAAGCTGTCAAGGAGTCATGGGGATTTTGATACATACAAAATGAAAAGTAGTTTTTTGGGGGCTGGCATGGTAGTGTTAATGGATTTCTAGGTGGGAAATAAAAGTGAAAAAGCATTTGGAAGTATTTTTATAATGACCCTTTCTTTGAAACACAAAGAAGTTTGAATTTAGGTTAAGAAACCTAGTAAAACCCATTAAAGTGATAACTGATCAAATTTTTATTTGATTATTTCTGGAACAATGGGGGAACAATTCTGAAAGCAATGGGGAAAATTGTATCATAGGGATGATACTGGAAAAATAAAAAATGTTACATTGCTTGAGTAAGAGCACAAGCAAATGATTTTTTTAAATGAATTAAAAGAATGCCAAAATGGAGGAACACATTTGAAAAATTTAAAACAAAATAATTTACTTACCACTTGATAATTAAATGGTTGGTTATATGAGTGGATAAAGAAAATAATAATAACACATACATAAACACATATAGACAAACAAAATGAATAAAATACTTCAATTGTTGGAGATGTTGAGAAATGGTCTGTATACTATACATACTCAGAAAAATAAAGGTATCTATGACTTTAAAATTTTTCCCATTACTATTAATGCATTCTAATTTTCTCATCAAGAGGTAGAGTATTTTCACTCACACTGAATAAATGTAGACTGACTCTCTAATTTGTATTGACATGGGCAACACAGCAGAAGTGACCTTCTTAGACTTCTGAGCTCAGGCTTTAAGAGGACTGCCAGCTTTAGTTTTCATCCTTAGGAGCCTAGTTACTATACTGTAATGAAGTCCAGGATATTCACTGGCCTTGAGAATATTTGAGGAAGCCCTAGAAGATAAAACAATGTGTGGAAAGAAAGTGTACATGGGGGATAGTCAAGAGATCTCAGTGTCAGTCCTGTGGACAAAGCATTTGTGGTCCTTCCTCTTCAGCTCGGCCACCAGTCAAAAACAGTCATAAGAAAAAATCCAGCTGGTAGTACATGTGGCAGAAGAACTGTCGATTGTTCTTCTAAGTCATGAAATTTGGTGTTGGTTTGTTTCACAGAAATAACTACATGAAACAGTAGTTGATACTTATAAATTAAGGTTCTATATAACAAAATCAAAAACATATGAGCTCGGCATTAGAAAGGGGAGGCTGGAAGGCCAGTTATGAGAATGTTAGGGAAGTCTGGAAGATTAGTGAGAAAATTGTTATTAAAGGCTGAAGAAATCCCAAGGCATATACCGTAGTGGCAGAATTTTGACAACCCTGTCAACAGTGGGAACATGGATATTTTTTTAAAATGTACCTGATGAATTTGTAGATCAGTCCAAGAAGATTTCCAGATAGAATTTTTTATTGCTTATGGCAAAGCAATACAAAAAAGACAATTGGAACTTTAAAAAGTAATACATGCACTTTGGGAGGCCGAGGCGGGTGGATCACCTGAGGTCAGGAGTTTGAGACCAGATTGGTCAACATGGTGAAACCTCATCTCTACTAAAAATATGAAAATTAGGCAGGCATGATGGCTCATGCCTGTAATCCCAGCCACTAGCAGGGCTGAGGCAGGAGGATAGCTTGAACCTTGGAGGCGGAGATTGCAGTGAGCTGAGATCATGCTACTGCACTCCAGCCTGGGCAACAGAGCGAGACTCCGTCTCAAAAAAAAAAAGAAAAAAAAAAAGTAATACATGAAAAAGAAGGAGTTAAATAAGAAATCATTTCATTTTTAAGCAAAATTACAGAAAATATTTCTAACCAAAAATTTTATAGGTTGGAAACTATTTCTCATTCCTAGCAGGTTAAGCTGGCAAAAGTTCCTAAAAGTAAGAAATAGCCCCAAAGGAAAGATAACATCCAGGATGCTGATGGAGTCAAAATAAAATCAATAGTGTTGGTATACAACCCTTTGTTAAAACTTCAGAAATATTTAAATTCTTCTCAGAAGAACTTTTTCTAATGGAGAGAATGACAGTCTGTTATATAGCAGTTCCATAAAGATTTTAGGAAACCCTATTGTCAAAAGCACCATCAGCTTCTACTAAAATAAGTGGAGGAGTTCAAAATGCAAAAAGGCTTCTGGGCCCCCAACTATCTGTGGAAACAAAGCAAACTGGTTGAGCAAACTGCTCAGTTACAAACATGGTATATTTCTTTTTTAAATGGAGGTTACTTGAGACAATGAAATAAAAATGCCAGAGATTTTAGCAAAAAAGCCAAGACAAGGATTTGTTTAGGAAACTAGTCTAAGATGGCAGATATATACCCTAATCAAGGAACATTCCTTGTTTTTTGAGTAGGGTTTCCTGGAAATCCAGGCTGGATTTCGGAATTACTACTGGCCACTGATTGCAATGAGCCTGCAGTTTCAGCTTGTTGTGAAAAAGGGTGTCTATCGCAGTTTTCCTGACCCTATGTCACCATTATACATTGCTTGTATATGGAGAAGCTAACAAGGACTTGACTTTACCGGTTTCCAGAAAAAGAATAAACATTCCAAAGAGACTCATCTGTATCCAGATATGGTGCCCATCATTATATTGCAATTGGATGGAGTACTGGGTTCTTGAGAAGGAGGACATGTGTATTTTGCATGTGGGGATATTGCGACTTGTTTAAGACGGAAGCTATAATGTGGTTTCCTACAAATATGGATTCCAGTGTTTCCCTCAATCCTTTTACATTCATGCTCTTCCTTCAAAGAAGCAGAGTCTATTTTCTTCACCTTGAATCTGGACTTACCTTGAGTATCACGTTGATTAAAAGAATGTGATAAGAGGTAATACTGCAAGCCAAGGACTTAAGAGGACCAGTACTTTCCACTTTCCTTTCTAGACACCCAGCTCAGTTCCCATGTTGTATGGAGGCCCAAGCTATCCAACTGAAGTGAAGACCACTTAGAGTATCTAGAGGATAAGACACCAGATGTAGATATTCCATGGAGAGGTAAATCAAGAAACCTACACTAATATGTTGTGTTAAAGCTCCAAATATATTCATTTGTTTTTTAGTCCAGAACCCTGTCAACACTATGTAGACCAAAAACACCATCTCGACAACTCAATTCAATCAAGCACAAATTCTAGTGCTGCTGTGAAATGGCTGTGCAGATATGATTAAAGTCTATAATCAGTTTACTGGAGTTAAATAAAAGGGAATTGTTTATGGGTTGGCCTGAATTAATACATCATAAAGCCTTTTAAAGAAGTTTTAGTCATTTCCTGGAAGCAAACATCGTAAGAGCTAATAAGTATACAATTGTTCTCTCTCTCCCCTGGATCTTCCTTCTTGATTGCTGCCTGTGAGAAACAGGTTTCGGCTCATGCCTATGGAGTTTTAATCCTGATCTTCCTTTTCTTACTGCCTGCCCTGTGGACATCTGCCTTGCTTAATAAGCTGCCACAATTGTGTAAACCTTGTAATAAGTCCATCTATGTATGCATATTATATATATATATATATGTATATATACACACACATGAAAATAAACATGTAGATAAATAGATAATATAGAAAATAAAAACCTAATGTTAAGTTAATCTAAAGTAAAAGCATTAAAGTTTCAAGACCAATCTATGATGCACCCAAAATATTAATGCTATAATAAAGCTTCATTCTGTTTAACTGGTTTCTGACTTAAAACAGAATTTCCAACATGATTTTAGAAGCATAATGTCTTTGCTATCCATATCTAGAGTCAAAAAGCTGCAAATAATTCTGTTTGTCAAAAAAACCCATCACATTAAAATGTGATACCTTCAGGCCTTGTTCTCTTCACGTATAGGATGCAATGACGTTATTCTAATACTTTTTCTTGCTCTTTAATATAAATTGACTATGAAGTGGATTGAATTTTGTTACCAGAATTCATGCAGGAAACACCTCTTATGAAAGTAATTAGTAAATGATGTTACGATTGTATAGGATTAGCAAAGTCTAGAGATTTAGAATGTCTTTTCTCAAGTAATATCTTTCGCAAATATATCCAGTCTACTCTTCTCCTTGCCAAGAATCAATGAAATGCAGTTACTTGTGATGGAGCAATATTATGCATCTAATTTATCTTCCTATATTTCAGGGATAGTTTATTACATTTTATTTTTAAGGCAAAGTAGAGTTTTTTGTTTTTTGTTTTTTTTAGTTTATAAACAGCTAGATTTTTCAGTGTTTTGCTGTCTAATTTTCCTTAGGTACAGAAAACCTGGTCCAATGGCTAATTGATGGTTCTATCTCAAGTATTGAACTCCTTTAGGAAATCCAATGCAATGATTTAATTTATGTCTAGTAGCTGAGAACTGCTATGCCTAAATTATGAAAGATGCCCATATTTTCTTAAAAAGGTTTTGAGATGACATTATCTATATTTTTAGGATTCAACCTATACTGTGCTTTAAGAAATTTTGAACTTTACGTCTGTGCAGTTTAACAGCTTTATTTTCAGACATTTCTTTAATGTTACATCTAACAGCTCATAGAAAGGTGAACTGATAGTGCTTTCAAAGATACCTTGCACTGAAAAATAATCCATTGGAAGAATTATATTTGCTCTTAAATGGAATGCCTTCTTAAATCCTGTAGACCCATTCTTTTTTGGCTTGGGGATTTAGTGGAATAAATTTCTATAGAAGCAAGGACTAGGTGTTTTCATCAGATCAATTTCATCATTTATTCTATCATTAAGAAAATGCCATTGTACACACATAACCAATGAGAAGGAAAAAGCGGTAAGTTTTTTTTTTTTTGGCACAGAATGTGATTCAAAATAGTTGTGTTAAAAAGTCCGTTTTCATCATAAGAGGATGTCCATAATGTACATTTTCAGACAATTTTAACTTTAGACATACTAAGAGCTGCTGTAGCACTTTTATTTCTAGTCAAGATTCTCTTATGCAGAATGTGTCTGGTGATATTACAAGTGATTTATCTAGGAAAATAGGGCCAATTGAACAAACTAATGGGTTTGACTTAGCTGATTTCCCAAGGGAATTTCTGCTTTACATTCTGTGTTATCCTAAAGCTGTGCTCTGTTCATTTCAAGATGGAAAAACCCAAGTTAAAGTCTCTTCACAGGCTTTGAGTTATCCCTGTCCTTATAATGTTAGCCCTTTAGGTTCATCGTTCCATGGCACCTAAATGCAATTATTATGATTTTGATGCCCTTTGTTAGTAGTAGGAAACATTATTATTAGAGTTCAGTGATCAATAATCAAATTTGCAGATTTAGTATGATGCCATAAAACAAAGTCATAAAGAGTCTTGATTCTCTTTAGCTTTTGTCACTCCATCAATCCAACTACATAGTAGTTTAAACTATCATTTTGACACAAAGAATCTGTAATATGAATAATTATCTTTCTTCACAGCATCAACATCTTGTCTCCACTTTTATCACCATTTGTAATTAACTATGAGTCACTAAAGATTCAAAAGAGTGTCAGTTTGATTTTAAAGACAATGACCTTTACCACTAATTCAAACTGTCTTTAAAGATCTCAGACTCTGACACACCTGTATTATACAACAGAACACTGCTACAAAAAATTCAATTTTGTTTCTAAAATTGCACAAGTAGTAGAACCACATCTCAGACCTTAATAGCCGAGCCACATCTCAGACCTTGAAACACTCAGGATTATTATTCCTACAATATTTTCAAGTACCCACCGGCTAACTGCAACCTCCAACTCCCTGGGTCAAGCGATTCTCCTGCCTCAGCCTCCTGAGGAGCTGAGATTACAGGCACCCATGACTATGCCCGGCTAATTTTTGTATTTTTAGTAGAGACGGGGTTTCACCGTGTTGGCCAGGATGGTCTCAATCTCCTAACCTCGTGATCCACCCGCCTCGGCTTCCCAAAGTGCTGGGATTACAGACGTGAGCCACAGCGCCCAGCCGAGAGGTGGGACTTTTGAGGTGATTAGGCCGTAAGGGTTTCTACCTCAAGAGTGAGTTTAATGCCTTTATGAAAGAGGACATTTAGAAGTGACTTATCTTTCTTGGTACTTCCCCTCTACTGTCATTTGAGAAACAGCGTTCCTCCTCTCTGGAAGATGCAGCAAGACACAATCTTGGAAGTGGAGACCAGGGACTTGCCAGATACCACATATTCCAGTGATTTGATCTTGGACTTCCCAGCCCCTAGAACTATAAAAAATAAGTCTCTGTTCTTTATAAATTACACAGTCTCAAATATTTTGTTACGGCAGAACAAAAAGTGCTAAAACATTGACTCACATCTCTGACCACAGAATACTTTCACTACTTCCTCTTCTGCAGACTCCTTTGTAATTTTTCTTCTATTGTTCTGGTTTTCTTATTTGAAATATTTTCCCCAACACATCACTTTATGCCAGAAGACATCCCTAAATATCTGTTGTAGAGGCTGATGAGAGTTCCATAACATCTAATCTTAGAAATGAATGTCAAGTATTGACTCAGTATGATTAATCAATTTATGATGTTCTCATAAATAAGTTGCTTGGATGAGCTCTCTTCTGATATTGTCCCTGATTTTTGGAAAGGGAACTATTACTACTTGCTAGTGAAAAAAGACTAGTGTTTGGAGTTGAGTACTTAGTGATAATATTTGAGTACTTTTCTCAATGTTCTAATAATCATCAGAACAGCTGGAAGTATTTATTGAAAAAGAAATGCAGAGATCAAAAAGAAGATTCTGACAATTTTACTTTTTCTCTGTAGAGCTAATCTTGTATATTTTGACTGCTTATATGTATGTAAAATAGCATGAAGACAATAAGTACATTCTATAAATATAAAATTTTAGCATCTAACTGTTTATTCTGTTATACATAATTGTGAAATTTATGTGTTTCCTTTTTCCAGAAAATTTTGTTACATGCCATATGGGTGAACTAAAATAAATGTATCATTCATTTTCAGACATATAAATTTCCCTCTTTAAAATGTTCAGTATTTTCCTTCAGAAATCACTAGTGTTGAGAATTTTTAAGAGTAATATTTCTATGGAATTAGGACATTAATAACTGTATTTACTTTAAGAAATACTGCATGTATTTGATAGATATCTGGGTCTATATTTCTCTATGATAGAACCTTGATTGAAAAATAATTACCCTTCTAAAATATGCTGAATGTACAATAGAAGTATATGTCTTTTGAATAGCTTTTATTTTATACTAATTATTTTATAATACATTCACTTCAAATTTTGGTTTAAAGTGTTAGTCATAAATATAGATAAAATAAATGGGAAATTGATTTTATGGTCTTGAATGAGACTATTATATTAATCTAGCAAATGGGTTAAATCAACAACAGAATTTTGAAAAATATGTAGTGGGTAATAGCTAATAATAATGTTTTTATGTGTAACTGATTTTATAACATTCAACTAAGTTTGTTTTTGTTAGGCCTGATAATATCAGAAGTAGTATATTTGTAATTTCAGTGTTTATTACTAATATTATACATCCCTCAATTGGCATCATTATAATATTTTAACTAAAATATACTGTGAAATTATACATTCTAGGCACTGTGCTGGGCTTCTGGAAAAATTATAAAGTTGCTTTATTAAATTCATACATGTGGAAATCTAATATAAATTTTATACATATATTTTTTATCATAAGAGTGTATAGTATTTCTTAGGGAATTTCAATGAACCTAGAAAATCTTATATACTTTAGTGCAACTGTAAGTTACTACACTTGGAGAAAAAATTCTTGATATTTTCATAGTGCAAAAGTATACATATGTGCTAGTCTCAGCATCTAGATTAAAAATCCACCCTTGAACCTAAACTAAAAGTTAAAATATTTTTAAAAAGAACCTGTCCTACAGAAGTAAAGACATATATGTGATCCTGGATATACAAGAATGTTTTCACAGCATTGTTTATGATGGCAAAGTAAATCAGAATTAAACATGAGTGTCTTCAACAGGGAATTGGTAGAATAGTTTTTGTATCTTATAGTGGAAAAATGTTAAGATATTAAAAGATAAGTTAGTTTGCATGTATTTACCTGAAGCTATGTCTGCACCTATATGCAAAATAGGAGTTTGCAAAATAATATACATGATATCATTCACTTCATACAGAGTATTGGTTAGCACATTAAAGAATTTTCTGTGTGGGACCAAGTTAAGGAATTTACATGCATTGGCTGATTTAATTCTCACATAAATCAGCTGATAGAGCAGTTTTATCATTCTCATTGCATCCCTGAATCTTAGGTGCATAGAGGTTCAATAAATTGCCTGGAGTTACACAGGGAAAGAATAAAATTACTCAATTATTAGGATTTTGAGAACTTCAGAATAAAGAAAGCATGTTTAGTTGCCCCCGCCCACCCCCCGACCTGGGGTACATGGCTGTTTTCCCTGGTTTCAGTTAACCAGCATTCAACTGAGGTCTAAAAATAGGTGAGTGTATAACAACAAGATATTTTGAGAGAGAGTAAGAGACCACATTCATCTACTTTTATTACGGTACATTATAAATGTTCTGTTTTATCATTTTTATTGTTGTTAGTTTCTTACTGTGCCTAATTTATAAATTAAACTTTACCATAGCTATGTATGTATAGAAAAAAATACATAGTACAGTATATATGGGATTTGAACTACCTACAGTTTCAGGCAACCACTGGGGGTCTTGGAATGTATCCTCTGTGGATAAGAGGGATTACTATATTTCCTAAGTTTCATAATGGCATTCTTTTGGAATAGATTAAATGTCATGCATGGGCTTTGAGCTTATTAATTTTATTATAACATTTGACAACATCTCATGAAATTCTGATGCACACATAGAAAATATCAAACCAGATGGAAGTATTACATGCTATATCCTTGGTTGAATAAATATACCCAATGATTAATCAATGGGTATGTTTATGGGTAGTTTGAAAGGAAACATAATATACTTCTGGGTTCTATTACTGGCACTATTGTGAATACAAATGTTATCAATCATGTAACTATTAGACTGCTCACAAATACTTTAGTTTTTCTCATACTATACAAATAATAAGATGGCAGTATTTCACTCTGCTCGAAGGTAAATGAAACCACTCTACTTGTTTAGACCAATGTCATTTGGATAGAAAGAATTTTTACAAGGCCTTCCCGTGGTCCCTTATGAGCTGTATTAGCATGAGTTGTGACAGAGTTTTTATCAGCTGTCTTCCTAAATGACTAAGTCTCCTGGCAAACTTATTATAGAGACTGGATTGTTTTTAGATGTGAAAGTTATTTATTACTGCAGTATAGTATAGGTCATCTTAACTGATACACATAACAAAATGGAATGTTTGGTTTAGAAATATACAAATGTCCCTACCAGGGAAATTAGACAATTGACTTAATAATAAAACTGGTATTTAACTTCAGGAATTCAGAATTTATAGTATATAATATATTTATGTATATATATATTATACTGTAGATATATTCACAAAGTTAATTTTTGATTAATAACTTACAGAAAGCTCTGCACTTGAGATTTATAAACTTGCTGAAAAAAATTCAGTAAGAAAACTCTATTTTAGTATATGCTTAATGAAAATATCTTGGTGGAAACCCTAAACTCTAAAACTACCCTGTGGTATTCAGAATGAGTCAAGCAAAACCCATAATAAATGACTTTATAGGTAGCTTTTGGATACAGCTCTAGGTTTAAAATTTGAGAATAAGGTTGGCAGATTATATTCTTTACAAAGGAAGGGCTGTCACAGCAGTGTGTGCCTGGAACCCATTTTAAATAAAGGAAAAGTTGAAGAGCTGGCATTTTAACCATCATATGTCTAATACATAATGATGCTTCATAAGTTATTGAGACCTCCCTCGATCTCTGGGATAGTTGGAGCAATGGCTGAACATAAACTATCAGAAAAATTGAATCTGTAATTCTGTCAATAAGTGAGAAAATATTCTAAGATTCTTTAAATTTTAATTCTGGGTTTTTGAACACATTGATATGTAAAATATAACAAAATAAGGTGGACACTATTTAACTGCAGTTGGTATCAGTTCTTATGTACTGAATTTAAGGAGAGAGATGTTATCACCATAGGAAATTATACCAACTAATGGCTGCATGCCATTAATATATTTTCTGAAGTTTGAATTTTCAGTTAATGCACTTTTAATGATATTAAAGAGCACTTTATTAACAGCTATTTGAAGGGTAATTTATATACAGAGAACTGCACATATTTAACTTGTATACTTTAATGAGTTTAAACATATGCAAACACCCCCAATACTGTCACCACACTCACTTGGATATGATTCACATAAACATACCCAAGATGCCCCAAAATTTATTTTAAACCCCTTATGTGTGTATGTGTGTGGTGAGAAGACTGAATTTGAGACCCAGCCTCAACAAATTTTGACATGCACAATATTATAGTATAAACTATCGGCACCATATTGAACAGCCGCTCTCTAAAATGTATTTATCTTGCACAACAAAGTTCATATTCCTTGAAAAACTTCCCATTACCCCACAACAGAGCCTTTGGAAACTACTGTGGTCTTCTCTGCCTCTGTGAGTTTGACTATTACAGATACCTCGTGTAAGTGGAATTCTGCAGTATTTGTCCTCTTGTGACTGGCTTATTTCACTTAGCATAAGATCCCTTAGGTTCATCAATATTGTCACCAATGGCAGGATTTTCTTCTTAAGACTGAAAAATATTATATTGTATGTATATACCTCAATTTCTTTATCCATTCATCTGCCAATGGGCATAGACATGGGTCATTTCCATATCTTGGCTATTGTGAAAAATGATGCTATAAATGTGGGAGTGCTGATATCTCTACAAGATCCTGATTTTAATTGTTTTGGATATGTATCTAGAAATAAGAGTGCTGGATCGCATGGTAATTCTATTATTTTTAGCTTTTGGAGGAACCTCCATACTGTTTTCATAGTTGCTGTATCATTGTACATTCTCAATGTACAGTGTACAGGGGTTCCAAATTCCCTACATCCTCACCATTTATCTTTTGGTTTTTTGAAAATCAACATCCTAACAAGAGTGAGGTAATATCATTTTGATATTACTATTTGCAATGACTTTTTGAATATGACATCAAAAGCACAGGAAACAGAAGCAAAAAATAGGCAAGTTGGACTATATCAAACTAAAAACAAACAAGAAAAACAAAAACCAAGCAAACTTCTACACAGCTAAGGATACAGTCAACAGAATGAAAAGGCAATCTATAAAATGAGAGAAAATATTTGCAATCCATATATCTGATAATGGATTAATTTTCAAAATATATAAGAAATTCCTACAATTTAATAGCAAAACATGCATAATCTGATTAAAAAATGAGCAAAGGATTTGAACAGACATTTCTTCAAAGAAGATATGCAGATGGCCAACTGGTACATTAAAAAATATGCTCAACATCTTTAATTATCAGGGACATGGAGATTAGTAGAACTTTCAAGTACATAAATAAATAACTCTACTTCACAGACTAACCTATAAAATGCTGAATTTTGTTATGTAAAATGTTACAGAAATAATTTCCTCACAATTGTGTTAATTCGTTTGTGCTACTATTACAAAATATTTACTACCTGGTCATTTATAAAGAACAGAAATTGATTTTCCACAGTTCTGCAGGCTGGAAATCCAAGATGAAGTCACCTGTAGTTCAGTGTCTGTGTCTAAGAGAGCACTTTGTTGCTGCACCCGCCAGAGGGAAGAAATACTGTATCTTCTCATGAAGGAAGGAACCGAAGGTGGGAATAGGGACCAAACTCCCTCTTTCAAGCCTTTTTGTAGTGACATTAATTCATTTATGAGGATGCCACCATCATGACATACTCATTTCCCAAAGGATTTCACCTCCTTCCACTGTTGCACTGGGGATTTATTTTCCAACACATGAATTTTGAGGGACGCATTCAAACCATAGCAACTGGTATATAGTAACTAGGTGGCCTGATGATCTTCATAATAAAATTATATTTTACTTTAGTATAAAATAAAAGGTCAAGGCTTGTAACTGTCATGAGACTGCTTCATGTATATCTCCCCTAGTGACTATCACGGTTGACTGACAGCTCCTGGGGTTCATCTTTGTATCCATCACTACATATACTCCAAAATCCCCATCTCACAGCTGTTGTCAGCCAATGACAAAGCATAGTGAGGTGCTGTTCCTGCTCAATATGGAGGAAAACTTTGGCTTGATAACTCTCCATTGGCCTGCCAAAATATGTTAAGTATTGTGCTACTATCTGAAACTCATTTTACCTAACCTTTTTTATTTTCTTTCCTCCTTCATAAGGTTTACAAGTATTGTGGCTGAAGGCTGTGTCTATTCCTGCTTCCTCCACCTCACCTTGCAAAAGTGTTTATCCAAATAAATCCCTCACACATCTAATCCCATTTTGGCAAATTCAGTTTCAGAACTTTGCCTTCACTACTAGTCTCAAGGAAAATATATTAATACACACACACACACACACACATACACACACACACGCATGCACACACACACACATATGTATATATTTCCCAATCTATTATAGGTAAAATATACTCTTATCACAAATAAATCCAAATTGTGAATGCTTAAAATATACTTTACAGAATATTAAAATTTAAAAGCATCACAGGAAAAATATTAATACTGTTTACAGAATTTCAATATGTGAATAATATTTACATTACAGTTTCATATGAACCTTTTACTTCTCTATTTAGTATGCCATCATGTCACTGCAGAGGTATGAAAAGGAGAGCTCTCCTAGTTGTGAAAAAAGAAACATGTTTTATTGGGAGCTAAGTGGAAGGTTGAACATGTGGGAATATCTGGGCATGCACTGAAGACACCTTTTGCATCTCCCCCATCCACATAGCAAAGTGAATGTGGTTTGTGTCCATTTATGCAGGATACTCTGGAAAACCAAACTGAAGCAGGTTAACATACATTTTTAAAAGAAAACTAAAGGAAAACAACACATACTTTATTACCTATCAAAGTAACCACTTCATTATATTTTAGTGGAAGCTATTATTTATTATCGAATTATTTGCTTGGGCAGGAGGATACAGGGTTTTTCCATTTGGGTTGTATATGCTCCTCATGAGAAAAGCTGAAGACAAAATCTTACCCTTCTGCCCAAAGTCAATTGAATCAACATGTTTACCTTGCTCCACGGAGCTGCTAACCTACTGGCTGGGTGTTGTGTGGCTTGGCAATGAAGTTCTGCATGACAGGAACAATGGTTTTTAAGTGGACTAATCAGAGCTATTAATGCATATGCAGTGAAGGCAGGAACTTTGCTACATGCAGGGCTTATCATTTTGCTAATAACAATGCCTGGCACAGATTACCAATTTGTTGAAATAAAACATATTCTGGGAGATATAAGATAGAGAAAGAGCAGCATGTAGTAGAAATAGATGTCGAAAGATGAATTAAGATGATGCATTAAGCTTGAAACATGAGGCAGAGAAAGCTGTACATAAGTTGAAGGCTTTGAGTTAAAAGACTATAGGAATTAGATGAGTGGGGGCTATGGAGAACAGAGAGAATTTAGAGTGTGGACAAGTGTTCTATGAGCAGAGACTGGGACTAGCCAAAACGTGATGATGGGCAGCTAGCTTGGAAACAATGCTTACAACGTGAAAATTATATATTTACAAAAGGCCATTACTTCTGTTAAAGAACAATAGACCCCAGTGAAAAGAAAGGAAATTGAAAAATAGAGAAAATGTGGAGAAAACTAGAATCTCTATAGACAGCATCAATGCAGCATCAATTATGTGAACCACTTTTGAGCACAAAGAACTATTGTTTTGACCTTGGAGGCAATTTGGTCTTCATTAGGTTTAGCTGTAGGATAGTTGATGTTCATTATTCCCTATAATGCTTGTGATGGCAAAACCTTCACAAATTTATATGATCTAGTTATGTTTTCAATCCTTACAACCCAAATAACCGATCATAACTCTCACTATGTCATTTGAAAAAAAAATGATCATCAGAAGTGTAATTCAATTAGCAAGTATCAGTAGTGGAGTATAAATTATTATTGGTTAATACTAAGTATGATTGAAAAATCATAGTAGATGGAAATATGGGAATCTTTATTTTGGATGAATAAACTTTATGCCTAAAACATATGTTTATAAAAAATACTTTGTGAATAAACCCATTGTCTAATATTTAAAAGAGTTGAAGTATGCTATTATAAGACCTTCCTTAATTGATGAAATGATGCAAAGCCAATAATATTGCTCCACTTACTGAAGTACAGAGATGAACAGAAAACTTTTTCTTTATTCCATGTTCTATATAAGTCAAGAACTAGAGCTCAAGATTAAGGTTTTTTTTTTTGTTTTTTTTTTTTCCATTTCCCTGGGAACAGAGCAACAGTCTCTCTGGGTCTAAAACATCCTTTTTTCAGTACATCCCACAGCATCCTATAGAAATATGTTGCAATCAGTTGCCAAGTCACATCCTAGCTTAATGTCAGCAATTTTCTTTCTGAACCAATTTTGCACTCAGCATTAAGAGGAAATATTGAAGGGAGACATACCTTTTATGTTTGTAAAATTTATACTTCTTGAGATAAAAAGGCAACTATATCCATTGTTGTGAGATCTTGAGAAGAAATAAGAAAATGAAATATTATAGAAAATATTATATTATTTAATTGTCCTGTTCTAAAACACTTTCTAAGCCTGCCTGTTTTTTTGCCAAATTAAATCAATATTTGGATGTAGACAGCTTTTCAGAGTGGCAGTATCATAGTCAATGAAGATGACCTGAGGCACAATTATTGCTAATTGGACATAGAAACCACCTTCACTCATATATAAAAATTATTATGTGCTATACTAGATATTTCAGGAGAATTGATAAAAGAAAGACTGTTGTATTCATATGCTTGTCTTCCTGGCTAGAGGATCTGTTTTAATTAATCAGCTCATGGAGTTTGGAAAATATTTATAGTATACATAGCTGAGTGTTCATGTAAATTTTGAATACATTCATACATCTTTTTTTTAAAAAAAAGATTGAACTTCAAAACCATTTTCTTACATACTCAGTAGAAGTTGTTATGAGCCAACATTTTTTGTGAGCTATACTATTTTAAACATCTAAAGTAAATTATTTGACATATAAAAAGACTTCTTCATTTAAAAATATATCTTTTAAAAATAATTTTACAAGTGATGGCATCTCATTTTAGAAGAAGAGGCATCAATGACAGCAGTTACAGTAACTCAATGCTGAATATGTTTTTAAATACAAGATGCTGTGTTCAGCATTGTACATACATTATCAAATTTTATTCTGATAATATGCTGCATGATGTATTAGGCTGGGTTCTCTCAGACAGAACCTACACGTATACATATATATATACACACATGCATATACATACACATACAGAGAGAGAGAGAAAGAGAGAGAGAGAGAGATCTCTACATTTATTAGAGGAATTGGATCATGCGATTATGGGGGCTGAGAAGTTCCAGGATAGGTTGTCTGCAAGCTGGAGAACCAGGGAAGAGAGTAGAGTAGCTTTCTCCAAGTCCTGAAGCTTCAGAACTAGGGAACTGATGGTATAACTCTCAGTCAGAGGCCAAAGGCCTGAGAACTCAGACAGCCACTTTGCAACTCCTGGAATCCCAAGGCCAGAGAGCCTGGAGTTTGGATGTCCAAAAGCACCAGAAGGAGGGTGTCTTAGGTCCAGGAGAGAGCGAGCTTTCCTATGCATTTTTGTTTTATCCATACCCCTGACCAATTGGATGGTGCCCACCTGCATTGAGGGTGGGTGTCCCTCTATTAAATATTTTAACTTTAATTTTAACTGTGATATAGGCACTGAATTCTTGTTGCTAATAATCTGGTAAGATCCATCTGAACTATGAAGTGAGTACCTGGAGGAACTCCTACATTTTAGGCTTTCAAAGGTTACAGGCTTTTCGTGTGTGTGTGTGTGTGTGTGTGTGTGTGTGTGTTTTGAGAAAAATGGAGTTCAAACACTGTGATTAGAATGTATGTTTACTTATATAGAATTTATGAATGAATGTATATAATAATTACTGTATATAATTTTAAAATATAATAAAGTCTCTTTATCCATGTGGTGTTAGTCTGTCTCTTCCATTTTGTTTTTCTTCCCTTCTTGAGCACTCCTTGCTTTTTTACCCATGGCCATTTTTCAATAATGAACATATTTGTAGCTTCTCATTTTATGTCCCTTTCGACACTTTCAGAGACTTTATCCTTCAAATTTGGAAAGGTTTTTCTTTTCCATAATATAATTTTCCAAATGTTGGCTACTTGTTTAATTTGTTAAACATGCAATTGTTTTGCTTGTTTGCTTCACCTGGCAGCTCTTTCTAAAACCTGAGTCACTATTCCTTTTGAACTCTGCTAAAAACATTATCATCTTCTCCAGGAGCTGAGGTGAAAGATGATGTTTTATTCTACTGCTTTAGTAGGAAGAGCCACATTATTGTCTAATTCGAGTGCAAAATATCTTGTACCATTGGTCATCTTTCTGGCAATAGACATCACAGTCTACTTCCTAACATTTCATCTTAGGCACTGTGCTGATTACCCCTTCAGGACTCTGGAGTCCACCGTTTTGCTGTAATTTCTTTAACCACCTGCCAACTCACTAAGGGCATTTGCTTAGTGTTTAATGTTCGCCTCCCAAATCAGTCTTTTTAATTGAATAGGCTATTTTTTTCACATTTCATATTCAAGCTTAACTTCCCTTTTGTAATATAGGCAGATGTTAAGATCACGTCAGCACTGCTGTGCAAAGGTTTATGGCAGTATTATTTTATATCTTTGTTCCACTGTCTGTCCTAAAATAAAAATCAATTGGTTTTTTGTTTGTTTTCTTGTTTTTAACGTATCAACACAAACCAAAGTATTCTGTATGCTCCATTGATACCATCTCGTTGTTTGGATAGGCAAGATAAACATGTCTGAAGTTTTTAAAGGTTACAGAAGGGTTGAAAATGATGGAATCCAATCACTGATTAAAAATGTGTGTTTACTAGGTAGTATTTAAGAATGAATGCATATAATAATTATTGTTATTTTTAATTTAAAAATATAATAGGGACCTTTTATCAATGTGGTGAGAGTCTTTCTATGTCCAGTCTGGTTTTTTGCCCTTCTAGAGCACTCCTTGCTTTTTTACCCATAGCCTTTGGATGATAATCAACAACATATATGTTGCTTCTCATTTTAAGCACTTTTCAATACTTGCAGAAACTTTAGTATATCACAGACATATATGAAATTGTGAGGACTTTGTTATTGAGATTTTTAATTAAAATAAAATTATCATAATCATAATAAAATACATTTTATAGTAAAATATTAAAATACAAATATAATAATAAGGCAAAACTATAGTAGCATCTTTCTCTAGATTGCAATTTAAAGAAGAAACATTGACTTCCTAATGCTGGAATCAATCTTTTTAAAAAGTTTATATTTTAGGTTTACGGGTACATGCGAAGGTTTGTTATATAGATAAACACATGTCATGGGGGGGTTGTTGTACATAACATTACATCACCCAGAAATTAAGCTCAGAATCTTTTTCTTTCATTTTTAGCTATATTATTTCCCTTATGTTGGACCATAAATCTAAAATTGTAATTAAATGTCCATCCTCCAAAAACGGAAATGCAAGCATGTACATGTCTTTAGAGGTAAGACACAGAAGCTGCCAATATAATTTGTACAGAAGTTATATTTCTAATCCGTGTGTGCACATACAAGGTGGAATGCCCATTGTATGAGGAACATTCTATACATTGATTATGTGTAATTGAATGCAAGAACTTATACAGAGGTACATTAAGATGAAGAAACATGTTTATCTTGTTCTCTCTTCTCTGTAGCATTGAAATTTCAGCTGCAAAGAAAAGGGTAGGCAAGTCAGGGCAATGTCAATTTTTCTCAATTAAAACAATTTTAAAATCCAAATGAATACTAAGGGGAGAAAGAGAGCCAACTACCAATAAGTATTTGTAATTTGATTAAAATTCTGTTTTGTTGAACTCTCCACATTATTTAATACGAGGTAGTGAGCTTAGAATAGCTTACCCTGCTCAGATAAACCATTACAAGCTTTGCAATTTACTAATCATCAATCTAAAACAATTTTCTGCAATATTTTAGCCCTTCTTCACTGATACATAAAGAGAACTTGCATATAAAAACAATAGAGGAATTCAAGATGCTATACATTTAAAATCTCAACTGTAGAAATGATTTTCTGCCATATCTAGTAATTCAGAGCTAGACAAAACCATTTATTTAATTATATACCTGCTATGGTTTGAATGTGTCCCCCAAAGTTTATGTGTTGGAAACCTAATTCTCAATGTAATGGTGTTGGGAGTTAGGGCCTAATAAGAGGTGATTAAATTATGAGAGTTCTGCCCTCATGAATGGACTAATATCATTTTCCTTGGAGTGGGTTAGTTATTATGAGAATGGGTTTGTTATAAAGACAAGTTTGGCCCATTCTTGCTCGCTTGCTTTTGCCTACTCTTGACCTTCTGCTTTCTGCCATGGGATGACAGAGAATGTAGGCACTCACCAGATGCCGTTGCTATGCATTTGAATTTCCAGTCTCCAGAACCATGAACCATGGTTCATTATAAATTAACCAGTCCGTGAGAGTCTGTTATGAGTATAAAATGAACTAAGTCCCTAATGTGCAATATGAAAAAAATGAATACAAGATTAATCTCTCAGACTACCTTTCACTCTCCAGTGTAGAGAAAATCAGTCCAGGGTAAAACTAACTTTATGTAATGAAGGATAAAAGGAAGAAATCAAATTAACGAAAATGGATGCATGGATTAGAAAAAAAAATCGGTAAAAAAATTAAATGGTTGTACCCAAAGGAGACACAATGCATGGTTTAAGTGGGAAACCTCACTGACCATGACATTTATTTTTAATTAGCAATTCAACTAATGTATAGCATCAGTAACATTGTCAATAATTATCTCCCAAGCTTTGTCATTGTATATAATTTATAGAACTCTCCATATATGTTGTTGTTTCATACATTTACAATATTTTTAAAATTTAAACCAGTAGTCTAATGTAATAAGAACTATTTCACCGTGGAAGATAAAGAGTGTAATAATTCGTGTCAAAAGTCCAATGGACATTGTCTAGGTAAGCAGAATCCAGATAGTTCACCTGAAAAATAGTAAAATGTCCAAACAGCTTCATAAATAAATAGACTATGTTTAATCTTAAAAAACTGCTAATATATGTATTTGATATTAAGAATTTTAAAATTAATTTCACTGGAGTTTGAGACTCTTAATTTAGAGAAAAATGTAACATTTTATATATACAGTTTTTGAATTCAATTTTTTTTAACAATTGAAAAACCATACCATGCTAAGAATTTGCATTTGAACACTGAAATATTCTCTAAGTGGCCTGTTAGTGTATTAAAATTTCCTCTTAAACCTTTTTATTTTTATGTTTTTTTAAAGCTCCTAGTGGAGGGTTTGGCTACATAAAATGTATTTCATAAAGTTCGGCTCTGAAGCATAATGCCAATTGCACAGTTGCCCACATTGAGCTATGAATGGGCAGCGTTTTGTAACCATGGATATGGTGAACTTAATGCGAGAGCCATATTCATCTGAGGCTTGCAAGGGTTGGACAGTGCCCTACCGAGATATTCTTTACTGGGTCAGTGAGCGATCTCCAGCTGCCAAGTGATGTCAGCTCACTCCAGAGAATTGGCCTTGTCTGACAGAAGTATGCCCAATAAAATGTATGCATATGAATCACTGTCTTAAACTCTACTTCTAGAAAATCCAAACTATGAGACTGTTATTAAGAAAAATAAGCAGTATTTTTCTGAAATTCTTATTCTTTCTTTTTTTTCCCCAATATAAAAGGTTTTTTTTTCTTTTGCTAGTATTGCAGATTTTGTTTCACATAGCATTCTTTCTCTCTCTCACTCCCTCTCTCTTAGTCTGTCTGTCAGCGGTCAGGGATTATTATCAGTCTGTCATTGGTCAGGGATTATTTGATTTAACCTTCACAGTGGTTTTAGCAGATAGGGAGCATTATCATAACTGGTTTTGTTTTGACAACAGTTGGAGTAGCTGTAAATTGGATAATATAAATATTGGCCAAGGTCACACATTTAGTAAGTGGTGGAGTTGAGATTGCAATCTGTTCTGTCTGACTCTAGAGTAACGGAACTCTTAAGTGCTACGCCGCACTGCGTCCCCTTATAATTTAGGGAGCCCAGTGTTGGTGAACGGTAGGACCTATCACCAGCTCCCTCATAGTCCAATTAGATGCTGATCAAACATCCTTTTCAAATATTCAGGCACAGAGAATTGGGCAAATTATAATTATATATGTAGAGAGAATGTATATGAATATGCTTTACACGTCCATATAATTTAATGAAATTCATTCAGGTATGTTCATTTGGGGCAATATCCTTGTGAGGCATTGTGGAAATAAACTAATGATTTCAAACAGAAAGCAAAAGAAAAACGGGATGGTAGGAGTTCTGTTAGACAGGTATTCTGTCCTTCGCCTACCTACTAACTTAATGCAACTTTGCAAATCTATAGTAGGTTTTCTTTAGGACTACACTGCCCTGATCCTTTGTTTATGTTTTTCTCTCATCCATTGTGGATTCTAATGCCCTCAGTACTGAATAATATACACAAGTCTGATGGTAGGGGCTACCTAATGAACCCTATACCCTATATCTGCATTTGTATATTTTTTCTTAATTTATGTTAGCTTCTTTGGTCTAAAGGTAGGAACTTAAACTTCCTAATATTTATTTTCACTTGCGTTAATGATCTTTTGTTTAGAATTATTTATGTACTTATAATATTGCTCCTTAATGTATTCTCAAATGTGTTACTTGGAATCTTTCTCACAGAACTTTGGCATGTTTCTATGTTTATACTTCTGGTTTTTTTTTTTAATTCTTTAATTATCTAAATTTTTAGTATCTGAATTATTTACTTTTGTATATATCTTTTATTCTCATCAATGTTTACCTGGAATAGTACAGGGACAAATTCCAATATTCTTACTTATCACAGCATATTACTTGGCAAGTCCTCAGATTTATCAGTATTATATTTGAAGATAAAGAACTATCTAATAAAATAGAATAAAGACATTCAAAAGTTAAATTTTAAAAATTTCATCAGTGGATTTTAATTGGGAAATATGCATGTTTCAATAAACACTATAAATTGTTTCTGGAACCTGTGCATCTTTCTTCTGCCAAATTGCATTTGGAACATTTTTACAAAATTAATTGTACAACCTTGTTAATGAGTATTCTTTTTGCAGCTCGTCATAATTTCTAGAGGTCATTATGATTTTGTCATGTTATTTTAATCACTTATTTGCATATTATTTGTATAATTTGGTAAAAAGGAGACATTAAAATAAATAATGAGGAGATGAAAACTAGTTTCTTGGAAAAAACATCTCTCATTCCTCTGGAATGAGTTGAATGTCTTTGTTCAAGTTTGTTTGCTATTGTTGTATGTGTTTTAAATCATGATTAATACATAGTAAACAACATTATAGGTTGTTTATTAATTTCAAATACACAGAGTTTTTTTCTGAAATAAATATGATCAGATAGTAGACATTGATTTGATAACTTTAAACTGAAATATATAGTTATTTAATTTAAAATCAAACCTATAAAAATTCTAAAGAGATACAGAAGGCACTGACTTATTTGGTGTTTTTAAGAACAAATGTGAAAATGCGATTGATAAAATTATTATTTATACACTATGTATGTGTTGCACACATATGTATGTTTATAAATATATATATATGATTGTTTGTGTATGTAAGTATATTTCTCCTAAATCCCTCACTTCAGTCTTATTTCTTCTATAATCTAGTGTCAAGAGATGAACATTCATAATATATCCATGGTTGTAACCAAAATCTCTGATTGTAATTAATCCATATATTATTTCTTAGTTTTATAGTAGATTAACAGAAAAAATATTCAAATAAATTAGATTATTCCCTAAATGGGTCAGAATTATTTATATAGAAGGTCTTATGAAAAATATTTAGGAAATTCAGGTTTGGAATTTCTGCATTCTATGAATTTCCACATATGAAATCAGATAATGGTCATCTCAAAATAAATTATTTTAAGAGAAATTAAATTGGCTCTAGGAAACTACATAATTATTATATGAAAAGATGTAAATTTATGCATAAATGACCACCTGGTAAATAAAGTCACTTTACAAGAAACTTAATTTTTCTGAAATATAGACACTAATTCCACATAGGGAAGGTTTGTATGTTTGTAAAAAATAAGAGAAATCACATCACGTTTGAAAATTGCCTTGGCCACCTGAAAAAGAGCAGGCTTGGCTGGGCACGATGGCTCAGACCTGTAATCCCAGCACTTTGGGAGGCCGAGGCGGGTGGATCACTTGAGGTCAGGAGCTGAAGACCAGCCCGGCCAACATGGTGAATCCCCGACTCTACTAAAAAAACAAAAATTAGCCGGGCATGGTGGCATGCACCTGTAATCCCAGCTACTCGGGAGGCTGAGGCAGGAGAATTGCTTGAACCTGGGAGGGGGAGGATGCAGTGAGCTGAGATCACACCACTGTACTCCAGCCTGTGCGACAGAGGGAGACTCCGTCTCAAAAAAAAAAAAAAAAAAAGAAAAGCAGCCTTTGCCCAGATTTAGTATGCTCTTAGATTGATTAGTTCCCATACTTTGTTTTATCTGAACAATATATGAGTAGATGGAGAGGATATTGGTGGTAAGGTCCATTGACAATCTGGATCCTGAAAGGTAATAATACATTGAAATGTAGATTTTTGAATAGCTGAGGCTTTTGAGCTGTGTATTATTTTTGTATTGCTGAAGTATTGAATTACCACAAACTTGGCAGCTTACAACGAGAAAAGTTCATCATCTTACAGATCTATAAGTTAGGAGTCCAATATGGGTCTCACTGAACTAAAATCCCAATGTTGAAAGGGCTGCAGTGTTCCTCTTTAGAGGCTAGAAGAAATAATTTATTTCCTTGACTTTTTCAGCTTCTAGAGGCTATCGACATTCCTTAACTCTTGGTCCCCATCCTGCATCAAAGCCAACAAAGTTTTATCTCTCTGATCATTCTTCTATAGTCACATCTCTTTTTCTGACCACAGCCAGGAATGATTCTCTGCTTTTAAGAACCCATGCGACTATATGCCAAACAGAATAACCAGGATAATTTCATCTCAAGGTACTTAATCACATCTACAAAATCTCATTCAACATGGCAGGTAGCATATTCACATATGTTGGGGACAACAATGCAAACATCTTTGGGGGCCATCATTCAGCTTACTACAATGTGTGATGTCAGTAACAGAGCTACAGATTCATAGTAGGGTCTTTCTCAATAATGATTTTGTTCATACTGCATCTTCTAAAAGAGGAGAGTCATAAAACTTGATTATTTAATCATGATTAGGAAAGTTTGGTATATAACACAGTAGCCATATTTTATACAGTTGTGGCTACTGTGAAATAGGAAGCTCAGCAGCAGTCATTGGGAGCGTGCATGTCTTGGCCGTGAGTAATCTGAGTAAATTCTACAAATATGTTTCAGTAATTGAAAACAGAAGACATTCATATGAAATTTGCCAAAAGTCCTATTCCCAGCGATTAAGTAATTATCTGTTATAAATCAAAATTACTCCAATAGTCATAAAAATTATATATTTATACGGCTAAATTATTCTTCCTAAGAATAATTCAAGATCTCTTTGTCTCTTCCAATCAAGGCAAACTGATGTAGTTCCTGCTCTGCTGACTTTTTTAAACTAACTTTTCTGCTGGAAAATTCTATCTGTCAATAAGAGTTCTTAAAAGGATTTGTATTAAGCCTTCCACAGATACTCTGATATTAAAATCAGGTCTGAGTAAACAGGTACATTCTGTGTAGTTAAAATTAAATACTGCTATAAATATGCCCAGTGGGATCATCCAATTTACTAGTCACTTCAGAGCTGATATGAAGGTCAAAAGGTACTTGGCAACATCGTTTGGAATTGGGATTACTTGTAGGTTATTTATCCTTGAGAAGTATTGTAATGTCTGTGTATAAAGTGCATTATTCCTTAGAAACTGCCTCGGTCAAATAACACAAGCTTAAGATTTTCATTTTCTGTCCCTTTATGCTGTGTACATGCAGAGTCAATCCATTGTTATTACACAGCCAATTATAGGACCAAAACATAATTTGCATTTCTTTTCTCCTTTTTAGTCATAATCTTGATGATTGTAGCCAAGCTCTATTTTGTAATTTTAAAGAAATCCCCTAAATGTACTTCCACAAGCCATTTTAATTATTCTCATGATATCTGTGGTAAGTAGGTGAAAATAGTCACTAACAGCCATAAATGATAACTAAGAAGTATGTGACCATAGCAATGTGTTAGGAGACACATATTTACGGGATTTTTATTTAAATTGATTAGCATTGCTTCATGCATACACCAGTGGTTCTCAACTGTCCATCAGAGTAAGCTGGCAAGATTGTTAATAGTTTACTCAGGTTCATGCCCAGAGATGGTTCTCATTTTCTATGTCTCTATCTCTACCTGATGCCCAGAGATTGTTCATGCCCAGAGATAGTTCACTTTCTCTAAGTGTATCTCTAGCTCTCTCTCTCTTTATCATGTCCTACTTCCAGATGATACAAATTTGCAGCTAAGGCTGAGAAACGCTGATCTAGGTGAGAATGTACCAAGCAGAAAGATTAAGTGAATTATTAATGCCCACAAAGTCATTTCAAATGTGTATTTATTTATTCAATTGATTTGACTGAAAACTAGTTCTCAGCATTTTAACATATTTTCCTCTAAAGATGTAAGCCGTTGGCTGACTGACTTGACTGAAAACTAGTTCTCAGCATTTTAACAGATTTTCCACTAAAGACGTAGACAGAGTTTGCATTTTGAGACAAGGACACAGGGTAACATTTAATCAATCTAATTAACAGCAGGAAATAAATGGGTATTACCCACTAGATTGTGATCGTCATTAAAAAAGGACTAATGCCTATTTTGAAAGCTTTACAAACATATTTGAGTGATTGAATAAATAAATACACATTTGATTTTATACATCCCAGATTCAGTACATTGTGATGAATTATAAAAAGAAAAAAAATCATTATACTTTCCATTTCCAAAATATATTCAAAAGTAAAAATATTAACAAATTTCAATTTCCGATGATTACTACTACTTCACAATAAATTCAGGAAAAATTCCATAATAATTCACAAAAACTCTGTACTTAACAGGAAACAACTCTCATTGGTATTAGATAGATAGACAGACCTTGCATTATTTATACCAAATGACATTTTCTTTTTTTTATTTTGCAGGTTTAATAAAGTATAATTCAAAAATTGTGTGATTAATGTATACTATCTAATTATTTGGTATGTATATATTATGTGAAATGATAATGATCAAGTCAGTTAACACATCTATAATCTCACCTAGTTAGTTTGCTTTGTTTTGCTTTTGATTTTGTTTTTAATTTCAACTTTTAGTTTAGATATGAGGGTACATATACAAGTTTGTTACACGAGTCTGTTGTGTGATGCTGAGGTTTGGGGTATGCATCACATCACCCAGGTAGTAAGCATAGTACATGATAGGTAGTTTTTCAATTCACACCACTCTTTTTTTCTACCCCATCTAGTAGTCCACAGTGTCTCTTTTTCCCATGTTTATGCCCATGTGTGCTCAGTATTTATTTCCCACTTATAAGTGAGGACATGCCATATTTGGTTTTGTGTTCCTGCACTAATTTGCTTAGTATTATGACCACCAGCTGCAACCATGTTTCTGCAAAGGACCTGATTTCGTTCTTTTTTCTATGGCTCTGTAGTACTCCATAATGTATTTATACCACATTTTCTTTACCCAATCCACCACCGCTAATGAGCACCTCAGTTGATTCTATGTCTTTGCTGTTGTGAACAGCATGATGATGAACATTTAGGTACATGTGTCCATTTGGTAGAATGATCTATGTTTCCTTTGGGCATATATGCAATGATAGGATTGCTGGGACAAATTGTAGCTCTATGATAAGTTCTTTGAGAAATCTCCAAACTACTTTCCACAGTGGCTGAACTAATTCATATACCCAGCAACAGTGTATACACATTCCCTATTCTCCACAGCCTTGCCGGCATCTGTTATTATTATTATTTTTTTTCACTTTTTAGTAATAGCCACTGTGAGTGGCATGAGATAGTATCTCATTGTGGTATAGATTTGCATTTCTTTGATGATTAGTGATGTTGAACTTTTTGGCCACTTGTATGTCTTCTATTCAGAAGTGTCTGTTAACGTCTATTGCCTGTTTATTAATGAGATTGTTTTTTGTTTCTTGATTTGTTTAAGTTCATTATAGATTCTGGATATCAGACTTTTGTCAGATACAAGGTGATTTGTATATATTTGCGAATATTTTCTCCCACTCTATAGGTTGTCTACTTTGTAAAGTTTATTTTTCTGTGCAGAAGCAATTTAGTTTAATTACATCACACCTGTCAATTTCTGTTTTTGTTGAAATTGCTTTTGGGGACTTAGCCAAAAATTATTGGCCATGGCCAACATCAAGAAAGGTATTTTCTAGGTTTTCTTCTAGGATTTTAGTTTGAGGACTTATTTTAAAAGCTTTAATCGATCTTGAGTTAGCTTTGTATACAGTGAAAGTTAGGGGTCCAGATTCATTCTTCTGTATGTGACTAGCCAACTATCCCAGCACTACTTATTAAATAGGTAGTCCTATCCCAATTGCTTATTATTGTCCACCTTGTTGATGATCAGGTGATTGTAAGTGTGAGTCTTTATTTGCAGGTTTTTTGTTCTGTACCATTGATCTACATGTGTGTTTTTGTACAAGTATCATGCTATTTTTGTGACTGTGGCCTTACAGTATAGTTTGAACTTTGGTAGTACAATGTCTCTGGATTTGTTCTATTTACTTAGAATTGCATTGGTTATTTAGGATCTTTTTAGGTTCCATATGACATTGGTAGTTTGCTAGGAATAGTGTCAAATCTTTAAATTGCTTTGGGCATTATGGCTATTTTTATGATATTGAGTCTTCCTATACATGAGCATGTAAGCTTTTCCATTTATTAGTGTCATCTTCTTTTTCTATATGGATGCCTTTCATTTTTTTCTTTCACTTTATTACTCTGACTAGAACTTCTAGTATACATTGAATAGGAGTGGTGAGAGTGGGCACCTTTGTCTTGCAGTTCTTAAGGGGAATGGTTCCAGCTTTGGCCTATTTGGTATGATGTTGGCTGTGAGTTTACCATAGATGGCTTTTATTATTTTGACCTATGTTTTGTGATGCCAACTCTGTTGAGAGTTTTTTTTATCATGGAGGGCTGTTGGATTTTATCAAAAGTCTTTTTTTATATCTGTTGAAATAATCATATGGTTTTACTGTCTAATTCTGTTTATGTGGTGAATCATATTTATAGATTTGTATGGGTTGAAACAACTTTGCATCACAGGAATAAAACCTTCTTGATCATGGTGAATTAATTTTTTGATGTGCTGCTGGATCCAGTATGCTAGTATTTTGTTGAGTATTTTTATGGCTATGTTCATCAGGGATACTGGCAGGAAGTTTTGTTTTTGATTTTTTTTTTCACTGTGTCTCTGCCAGATTGTGGTATCAGGTTGATGCTGGTTTCATAAAATTAGTTAGGAAGGAGTCTCCCTCAATTTTTTGGAATAGTTTCAGTAGGATTGATATCAGTTCTTTTTTATACATATGAGAGAATTTAACTGTAAATCCATCTGGTCCAGGGCTTTTTTTGGTTGGTAGGTTTTTTGTTACTGATACAATTTCAGAACTTGATATTGGTCTATTCAGGATTTTATTTTTTTCCTAGTTCAATTCTGAGGTATTATCTGTTTCCAGAAATATATATATATTGCCTCCAGATTTTGTAATTTTTGTGCATAGAGTTGTTCATAGTAGTCTGAGATGTTTTGTATTTCTGAAAAATCATTTGTAATATTTTCTTTCTAATTTCTGATGGGATTTTCTTCTTGTGCTGTTGTTGTTAATTCAGATAGTGCTCTATCAATCTTATTTGTTTGAATAACCAACTCTTGGTTTCATGTATCTTTTGTATGGATTTTTGCACCTCAATTACATATAGTTCTTCTCTAGTTTATTTTTATTTTTTTTTATTTTATTTTTTGAGATGGAGTTTCACCCTGTCGCCCAGGCTGGAGTGCAGTGGCACAATCTTGGCTCACTGCAACTTCTGCCTCCCGGGTTCAAGCAATTTTCCTGCCTCAGCCTCCTGTGTAGCTGGGATTACAGGCACGCACCACCACGCCTGGCTAATTTTTTGTGTTTTTAGTAGAGACAGGGTTACACCATGTTGGCCAGGCTAGTTTCAAACTCCTGACCTCGTGATCCACCTGTCTCAGCCTCCCAAAGTGCTGGGGTTACAGGCATGAGCCTAGTTATTTTTACTGATAATTTGAGATCTTTCTAACTTCTTGATGAAGGTGTTTAGGGCTATAAGCTTTTCTCTTACCACTGCTTTAGCTACATCCCAGAGCTTTTGATAAGTTTTGTCCTTATTTTCATTAATTCCAATGAATTTTTTATTTCTGCCTTAATTTTGATGTTCTCTGAAGAGTTAGTTATTCAGGAGTAAATTGTTTAATTTTAATGTATTTGTGTAATTTTGAGAGATTTTATTGATATTTACTTCTTTTTTTATTGCACTCTTCTGAAAATGTGCTTGGTATGATATCTAATTCTTTGAATTTATTGAGACTTGCTTTATGACTGACCATGTGGTCAATATTAGAACATGTTCTGTGTGAAGGTCAGAAGAATGTATATTCTGTGGTTGCTGGGTGGAGTGTTCTTTGGATGTCTATTAGATACATTTGGTCTAGTGTCAAGTTTAAGTCAAGTGTCAAAGTTAAGTTTCTTTGTTAGAGTTCTGCTTTGATAATCTGTCTAATGCTGTCACTGGGGTGTTGACGTCTTCCACTATTAATGTGTGGCTAAATAAGTCTTTTGGTAGATAAAGAGGAACTTGTTTTATCAATCTGGGTGCTCCAATGTTGGGTGCATATATATTTAAGACAGTTAGTTATGTCTTCTTGTTGTATTATATCCTTTATCATTACGTAATGCCTTTCTTAATTATTATTGGTTTTAAGTCTGTTTTATCTGATACAAGAATAGTGATTCTTGCTCTTTTTTGTTGTTGTCCTTTTGCTTGGTAGATCATTCTCTATCATTTTGCTTTGAGCTTGTGGATTTCATCATAGGTCTCTTGAAGACAAAAGGCAGTTAATTCTTGTCTTTTTATCCCGCCTGACACTCTGTGTCTTTTAAGTGGGGTGTTTAATCCATTTAAACTCAAGGTGAGTATTGATATGTGAGATTTTGATCCTTTCATCAGGTTGTTAGCTGAGTGTGATATAGACTTGAACATGTAGTTGCTTTACAGTGTCTGCGGGCTATGTGCTTAAGTGTGTTTTTGCAGTAGCAGGTGTCATTTTTCAATTTCACGTTCAGCATTTCCTTAAGGACCTCTTGTAAGGCTGATCTAATGGAAACAAATGTCCTCAGTATTTGCTTTTCTGAGAAGAATTTTATTTCTTCATTGATGAAGTTTAGTTTGGTGGGATATGAAAGTCTTCACTGGCATTTCCTTTTTTATGTTGCTGAAACTAAGCCCAATCTCTTCTGGTTTGTAAAACTTCTACTGAGAGGTCCATTGCCAGCCTGATGGGGTTCTGTCTGTGTATAATATATATGACCTGACTCTTCTTTCTGGCAGCCTTTAAGATTTTTCCTTTTGTGCTGACCTTGGTGAATCTAATTTTGAGCCTTGGGGATGGTTGACTTTTACAGCATCTGGCCAGAATGCTCTCTATTTCTTGAATTTGCAAGTCAATTTCGCTAGCAAGATTAAGAAAATTTTCATGGCCTATGTCCTCAAGTGTATTTTACAAGTCTTTCATTCTTTCTCCTTTTCTCGCAGGAATTGCAATGAGTCATATATTTGATCTCTTTATAGAATCCCATATTTCTCTAAGGTTTTGTTCATTTTAAACTTATTTTGTATTCATTTTTTGTCTAATTAAGCCTGGTTTAAAGGACCAGTTACTGAGCTCTGAGATTCTTTCCTCACCTTGGTCCATTTTGCTGTTAATACTTCCGATTATATATCTTGTAGTGAATTTTTGAGCTCTAGAAGTTCAGTGTGGTTCTTTCTTTTAAAAGTTACTAATCTTTCAGTCCTTCCATCATTTTACTATATTCCTTGCATTCCTTGGATTGGGTTTTAATTTTATCCTAAGTCTTGATGTGCTTTCTTGCTATACAAATTCTGAATTCTACATCCATCATCTCAGTCATTTCAGACTGGTTAAGAACCATTACCGGAGAGCTAGTGGACTCCTTTGGAAGTAAGTACACACTCTGGCTTTTTAAATTGCCAGAGTACTTGTGCTGATTCTTTCTCCTCTGAGAGGGCTGGTGTTCTTTTAAAGGTGACTAAGTTGAGTACGGTCAGTTGGCTTTTCTTTTTGGGTGTTTTCCGAGGGCCAGACCTCAGTACAAGGTCTTTATTTGTGGCTGAGTTCTTGTTCTTGGTTTCACGGGGAAGTATATTAGCAAAAGATATTTGATGTTTTAGTTTGGGCTGTGATCCACTAAATGACACATAAGAATAATGACAGTAGATAGGCTCTTTACTCAGTCACACAGCTCCTTTGTCTTTTCTTGCATTTGCAGCCATGCTCCGCAGTGTGAGAGGGAGAGAAGTGACCCCCTCAGCAGGTCAACTTCTGGTCCTTGGGGGAGCTCCTCTCATCATTGGCACTATGCCTCTGTGTCTTTTCTTTCCTTTTTTTTTGAGATGGAGTCTCACTCTGTCACCCAGGCTGGAGTGCAGTGGCACAATCTCGGCTCACTGCAACCTCTGCCTCCCGGGTTCAAGCTATTCTCCTGCCTCAGCCTCCCACGTAGCTGGGACTACAGGCGCGCACCACTATGCTCAGCTAATTTTTTGTGGTTTTAGTAGAGACAAGGTTTCACATGTTGGCTAGGCTGGTATCGAACTCCTGACCTCAGGTGATCTGCCCAACTCGGCCTCCCAAAGTGCTGGGATTACAGGCATGAGCCAGTGCGCCCAACCGCCTCTGTTTCTTTTATTAGATGTTCTGGACCATGGGGCTTCTTTGGGCAGATGGGGTATTATGGGGATAAGCCACACACTTTTTGAACTGGCCCTGTCAAGGGGGACATAACCAGTTCCTGTGCCACCCCATCAATCCCCACCTATTCTGAGTGTTGGCTCCTCCCCTGCTTGAGTAATGGCCACAGATCTTGGCTCGGCACTCCCAAGCTGCATGCTGAATTCCTGGGACAACAAGACTGGCTTGTGGCTCCATTCTCCAGATCCTTGGGTTGGCTTCTGGGTGCACCAGGAGATCTGAAATGCTCTCAGGCCACCAGGAAAGTACTCAAATGCAAGAAAGCACCCAGACACTCTGAGCTTTTGGTGTTATAACTGCAATTTATACCATTTGACTGACACCACCCTCTTTGTTATATGTCCATGCCCCTAGTAACCACCATTCCGCTGTCTACTTCTATAAGTTTAACTTTTTAAGATTCCACATATAAATGAGATTCTGCAATATTAGTCTTTTTTTTGTCTGACTCATCATCAGGGTAATGCAAATCAAAACCACAATGAGATAACACTTCATACCTGAGATGATGGCTACTATCAAAAAAGATAAGAGATAACACAAGTGTTGGCAAAGATGTGGAGAAACAGCAAAGATTGCCAGAAAACCACTAGAAACAATGGGAAAAGCATGAAACAGATTCTTCCTCACAGCCCTTAGAAGGAGCCAACCCCGGGCCCGGCGCGGTGGCTCACTCCTGTAATCCTGGCACTTTGGGAGGCTGAGGCAGACAGATCATGAGGTCAGGAGATCGAGACTATCCAGGCTAACACGGTGAAACCCCATCTTTATTAAAAACACAAAAAATTAGCCAGGCCTGGTGGCAGGTGCCTGAAGTCCCAGCTACTTGGGAGGCTGAGGCAGGAGAATCGCTTAAACCTGGGAGGCAAAGGTGGCAGTGAGCCAAGATCGCGCCACTGCACTCCAGCCTGGGCGACAGAGTGAGACTCAATTAAAACAACAACAACAACAAAAAAAAAAAACGAAGAAGGAGCCAACCCTGCCAACACATTCATCTTAGACTTCTATCCTCTAGAACTAAAAGACAATAAATTTCTGTTATTAAATCCACTCACTTTGTGATACTTTGTCATGCCAGTCCTAGCAAGTCAGCACACAAGTGACATAATTCCTTTATGAGTCTACGTCCATTAACCAAAAATGGACATTTATGGAGGTCAGGAATTTATAATTGACAAGCATTGTAATTATGACCCAAGCAACTATTGATTTGTTTTGTTTTCTTTAGAATACAGTTTTCCTAAAACATTATTAGAGTGCTACAAATTTTCAGTTTGTGAAATCATTTGAGTCTGTGAAGTTGAAAGCATGTGTGTGTATGCATGTGTGTATCATCTTTCCAATCTAAAGCACGTTTGCTAATACCCTGCGGGTGAGAAATCTATCATGAAAGAAGAATTTTTTTAATTTTACCACCTCTTCAAAATGCAGACTTTCTAATCCCCATAGGGATGTCCTGAGAACACCAAATAAAGTTATCCATCCTAACAAGTGTTCACAATTTTGACCAACAAACAACCACCTACATATATTATCTCTAGTTGTCTGACTTATTTCTCATACGAATATTTATCAATAATTTATCATCTTGAACAAGTTTTATTCTTAATGTATTGGACAGTGTTAATAACTTTGGAATTAATAATATTTCTATATTCTCAAACAAAATTTATGTCATCCTAATGCTGTTTAATCTCCTTTCCTCTCTAAGAACTCAGAGTCCTCATGGTTCACTCTGAGGACAATGGGACAGTATTCTTTAGAAAAACCCAGATGATTTCCCAGCTGGCTCAGACTGGAAGCACACGCATCTCCCAAACAATATTCATGAATTACTGATACAGTCTGCCAATCCTAGAATAAAGATTCTAATTCTTCCTTCTGCAGTGACATTTTTATTTCTCCTTTCATTTCATATAGCTCTGGTTCTCCCAAAAGAAAGCTCCTCAAATCTTCAACTCTCCGCTGAGTCATAGGTATTGCTCACAACTTCAATGGCTGTAGCCTCCATTGTGACAGTGTGCCCTGAATTCTTTGTTGAGGATGTGCTGGTGCAGAGAGTAAAATCAGTGGGTGTCTGTACTTCTATATTAAGCTATAACCAATAATGAATATTGACATTTTGTTCTACTAGATTTATGTCCCAGCTTTGGTCTGTGGTGTCCAGTTTAGCAAGTGTAAGCACCTACGTGATTTGCTCATTTTCTGACCAGAAATAAGACGGTACTTCAGATAAACATAATGTTAACCCATTTCAACAGACTCTAATACATCACTGGATAATCAGATCTTGCTAATTTCTTTTAATTTTGGGTGCCTAGGATCTCCTAGATGATGCAGAGAGAAATAGTGATTCTAGGTCAGTTTATTTTACTCTTTAACTTAATGAGATTAGTTCTATCATTTTATTTCTGAAGCAATGTTAAGTTTTAGTTGATGCAGTTTGTCAAGTAAAAAAAAAAAAAATTGTTTCTAGTAATCCAAACATTTTATACCAAGATCTGTATAGAACTTTATCAAAGGATATTTTCTATGATAGTTGAATTGATTGTATTTTTCCTTTTAATTGGTTAAAGTGGTTAAGTTCATTATTTCCTACTCTATCTATGAAGATCTCAAGGGTAATTTAGGGATTCTACTAATTTTGAGAGGGGAGGATAGGGTGATGAAATTTTGCTATGTTTTTTATGAAGTATACTTTAATGTGCTTAAAGAAATTGGGTAAAATACTTAAATTTACTTTTAATTATTTTTTAATATTCTATAATATTTTACTTTTAACTTACCACACTTCTCCAAAATGTATCATGATTACATAGAAAAATAAGTCCATGTGTGTATGTGTAAGTATATATAAACACACATATATGTATGCATATGTGTATATATACACACATATTTACATTCAAATATATGTATACATATGCTTATATATTATGAATACCTTCATATATAGAAATGTGTACAATATGTATATACAAACGTACTTAGATACATACAATATGTCTAAGCTTCATCATTTGGGAATCCTCCTTCAGGCTAACCCTTCTTAAAAATATTGTGTGACACTTAGAAGCCATGGTTTAGAATTTGAATAATCCCTAACATTGGTTTTGTTGATTACTAGTTTTGCAATCTTAGGCAAATTATTTAATTTTCTGGACCTTTTGTCTGTAAATTAGGAAGACACAGGTATGATGCATGTGTTGTGATGCTGAAAACAATGATGCTTGTGTTGTAACTAGCATAAGACTTTATACACAGGAAGTGCTCAAAAAAGTATTTTTTTCAAAAATTATGTAATGTGACTATTCAATACAAAAGGCACTCTATAAAATAAAATCGAATTGATCAATGTACCTCAAAGATTCAGCTGTGTGGGTAATTATTTCTCAGTTTTTCTTTTGGTGATTTTATTTATTTTAAATTCACACCAAAAAAATTCATGACGGGAAAAGTAAAATTGTCCCTGCCAACATCATAGAATTCAAGTGAGAGATTAATTATGTCATATATAAAGCATCACTTTGAACTTCAGAAAGTTAATTAAATTTAAATTAAAAAAAAAACAAATACTCAAACCTTTCTAGGTTTCAAGTTTCTATCTAAGCTATAAGAAAAAGTTACAATATAGTTACTCATATGTTAAAGTACATGAGTCAATGATAGTGATATTTTTCTGTAATTTATGGAGTAATTATTTTATATGTTGTATATATTATTATCTGTATATAAGGTAATAGGTACCAGGTGGAAAAAAAATAGTGTTCGTGTTAGTATTACTATGCTTGTTAAGATAATTTTAATTCAAAATCTATTAAGCACCACATATTATTTTACCAGGGCTGCCACAACAAAATACAAGAGACTGGATGGCTTAAACATCAGCAATGTATTTTCCCACAGTTCTGGAGTTGGGAAATCTGACATCAAGGTGTCAGCGGGTTTGGTTTTTGCTGAGGCCTCTCCTTGGCTTGCAGATGGCTGCCTTCTTGCTGTGTGTTCACATGATTGTCTCTTAGTGTGTGCATTTGTCTGGTGTCTCTGTCTGTCTTAATCTCTTTTTAAAAGGACACCAGATATATTGGATTAGAACTCATCTTATTGACCTAATTTTTACTTAATTGCTTCTTTAAATATCTTGTCTCCAAATGGGTTGCATTCTGTGGTACTCAGATTTAGGGATTCAATATATGAATTGGGGGGAACACAAATCAGCCAATATCACATGAATTCTTTTTCTAGCAAAGAAAGCATCCATTCTATTAGGAGTCTTCCTTTACTTAATAGAAAACCAGCAGAACAGTACCATGTTTATACAAATGTAAATTAATTTACTTATTCCTGTATGAGAGCACTCATATGTGTGTGCATGTGAAAACAAAAGTCATAAAGTCACTGTATATCTGAACACATGAATTTTAGTATACTTTTAAGAGGATTGGCTTTCAAAGACTTAGAAAATCATTTTAAGTTTTCAAATGGAGTTAGACTAGACTGCTGGTTGCCCACATATAGTGTTTTGTATTTTGTGATGAATTATTTCAGACTTTGAAAAGATACTGTGATATTCTCTGGGAGACCTGGAGATTGAATGATCCACAGCAGATAGGAGAGAGGACTTCACACATAAATAAATGGATACGTGTGCTGTGTCTAACTTTTGAGTGGTAACAATCCTTGAATTTGAAGGAAGACGACATTTTCATGACTATTGAAGCTTTTGTAATCAGGACGAAGAAATGAAGAATCTGGTGAACTAAGGCATTAAAGTTAAAATAAAAACAGAAAATTTTGATAGATTGTGATTAAGTAGACCTTGAACATATGAAAACTTTCAGGGATCCTGATATTTGTCTTGGACCTTTGGGCCCTGAAAGTAATCACCTTTGTTACTAGGGGAAGTCACTTTTTTTTTTTTAATTATACTTTAAGTTCTAGGGTACATGTGCACAACGTGGAAGTTTGATAAATAGGTATACCTGTGCCGTGTTGGTTTGCTGCACCCATCAACTCGTCATTTACATTGGGTATTTCTCCTAATGCTATCCCTCCCCCAGGCCCCCACCCCCCAACAGGATCTGGTGTATGATGTTCCCCACCCTGTGTCCAAGTGATTTCCTTGTTCAATTCTCACCTATGAGAGAACATGCAGTGTTTGGTTTTCTGTCCTTGTGATACTTTGCTGAGAATCATGGCTTCCAGCTTCATCCATGTCCCTGCAAAGGACATGAACTCATCCTTTTTTATGGCTGCATAGTATTCCATGGTGTCTATGTGCCACATTTTCTTAATCCAGTCTATCATTGATGGACATCTGGGTTGGTTCCAAGTCTTTGCTATTGTGAATAGTGTTGCAATAAACGTGTGCACGTGTCTTTATAGTAGCATGATTTATAATCTTTTGAGTATATACCCAGTAATGTGATTGCTGAGTCAAATGGTATTTCTAGTTCTAGATTCTTGAGGCATCACCACACTCTCTTCCACATGGTTGAACTAATTTACACTCCCACCAACAGTGTAAAATTGTTCCTATTTCTCCACATCCAGCATCTGTTGTTTCCTGACTTATTAATGATTGCCATTCTAACTGGCGTGAGATGGTATCTCATTGTGGTTTTGATTTGCATTTCTCTGATGACTAGTGACAATGAGCATTTTTTCATGTGTCTGTTGGCTGCATAAATGTCTTCTTTTGAGAAGTGTCTGTTCATTTCCTTTGCCCACTTTTGGATGGGGTTGTTTGTTTTTTTCTTGTAAATTGGTTTGTGTTCATTGTAGATTCTGTCACATGGGTAGATTGCAAAAATGTTCTCCCATTCTGTAGGTTACCTGTTAACACTCTGATGGTGGTTTCTTTTGCCATGCAGAAGCTCTTTAGTTTAATTAGATCCCATTTGTCAATTTTGGCTTTTGTTGCCATTGCTTTTGGTGTTTTAGTCATGAAGTCCTTGCCCATGCCTATGTCCTGAATGTTATTGCCTAGGTTTTCTTCTAGGGTTTTTATGGTTTTAGGTCTAACATTTAAGTCTTTAATCCATCTTGAATTAATTTTTGTATAAGGTGTAAGGAAGGGATCCAGTTTCAGCTTTCTACACATGGGTTGCTAGTTTTCCCAGCACCATTTATTAAATAGGGAATCCTTTCCCTATTTCTTGTTTTTGTCAGGTTTGTCAAAGATCAGATGGTTGTAGATGTGTGGTATGATTTCTGAGGGCTCTGTTCTGTTCCATTGATCTATATCTCTGTTTTGGAACCAGTACCATGCTGTTTTGTTTACCGCAGCCTTGTAGTATAGTTTAAAGTTGGGTAGCATGATGCCTCCAACTTTGTTTTTTGTTTGTTTGTTTTGTTTTGTTTTTGCTTAGGATTGTCTTGGCAATGCAGGTTCCTTTTTGGTTTCATATGAACTTTAAAGTAGTTTTTTCCAATCCTGTGAAGAAAGTCATTGGTATTTTGAGCCTACCAACCAAAAAAAGTCCAGGACCAGACAGATTCACAGCTGAATTCTACCAGAGGTACAAAGAGGAGCTGTTACCATTCCTTCTGAAACTATTCCAATCAATAGAAAAAGAGGGAATCCTCCCTAGCTCATTTTATGAGGCCAACCTCATCCTGACACCAAAGCCTGGCAGAGACGAAACAAAAAAAAAAGAGAATTTTAGACCAATATCCCTGATGAACATCAATGCAAAAATCCTCAATAAAATACTGGCAAACTGAATCCAGCAGCACATCAAAAAGCTTATCCACCACAATAAGGTCGGCTTCATCCCTGGGATGCAAGGCTGGTTCAACATACACAAATCAATAAACATAATCCATCACATAAACAGAACCAATGACAAAAACCACGATTATCTCAATAGATGCAGAAAAGGCCTTCAACAAAATTCAATAGCCCTTCATGCTAAAAACTTTCAATAAACTAGGTTATTGATAGAACGTAACTAAAAATAGTAAGAGCTATTTGTGACAAACCCACAGCCAATATCACACTGAATGGGCAAAAACTGGAAGCATTCCCTTTGAAAACCGGCACAAGACAAGGATGCCCTCTCTCACCACTCCTATTTAACATAGTGTTGGAAGTGCTGGCCAGGGCAATCAGGCAAGAGAAAGAAATAAAGGGTATTCAATTAGGAAAAGAGGAAGCAAATTGTCCCTGTTTGCAGATGACATGGTTGTATATTTAGAAAACTTCATCGTCTCAGCCCACAATCTCCTTAAGTTGATAAGCAACTTCAGCAAAGTCTCAGGATACAAAATCAATATGCAAAAATCACAGGCATTCCTATACACCAATAACAGACAAACAGAGAGCCAAATCATGAGTAAACTCCCATTCACAATTGCTACGAAGAGAGTAAAATACCTAGGAATCCAACTTACAAGGGATGTGAAGGATCTCTTCAAGGAAGCCACTTTCTGTATTGTACTTCGCTTAATACTTAAGCCTCCAGGAAAGTTTTGTTAGATATTGCAGCCAGGTCTAGGCTAAGTATTTTAAATTTTTTGTTTTTATTTTATTTGATTATAAGCGGTATTCTGATCAGTGACAGAAGCGACTTGGGTCCACCTTTAACAGAACGTTGGTGTAGAGCAAATCAGCACAATCTTCTCCTCTATGAACATGTGTGTTGACTCATGCATACTCAAGAAACCCTGTGAAGCAGCCTTGAAAAGAGATTTTTCTGGCCAAGGTGATAAGCAAATACTTGTATAGATGTTATGACTGTGCAAATGGTTTGCAAGGAGACCTCAGAAATGACTTGCAGAAGAGAATTTTGAAAAAAAAATTTAATTGGCTCTAACACAATAGAAAGCCAGTCATTAATTGTAATAACTCTCTAGTGTTGATACTCTAAGGTATGAGCATACCTCAGAATTAGGACCAGTTCATATTATACTAAAAAATAAATATTGTCTTAAATGATATGGTGTTATTAGGTCACATTAAAATGAGGAACACTCATTTTGCTTCTATTATAATTATCATCAAGTCATTCACAGCTAAAATATCTGGAATTGGTTCATACAGCTATTTACATTAGTCACCAAACACTCACTCATTTGGATAGTCAGCTGGGCTAAAGAAAAATATGTATTATAAAGATTACCTTAATTATTGAAAACACATCCTGGAGTATTTCTGCTTTCGTGAAACAAACAGCCAATAAAAAGTTTCTGGATTTTGAAAGGCCCAATTCACTATGGTATTGTAGTCCATAGAGAAAAGAAGCCCCTGGCATTTCATTCTTTATCATAATTATGTTGCATTTCAATTATTATTCTAATTAATCATTACACAGGCACTTCAGGCTTTGCTATGATGGTAGAATTGATTTCCACATTGCTTTGATGTCCCATGAATATGACCTTGTCAGTGTAACTCTAACCTTGAGATGCCTCTTTGTTTCCTTTTAGTAACTAGAGACTAAATCCCTCAGACACATTCTGGAATCTGATGCTCTATATGTCTAATGTGTTAGAAGCTCCATTAGGATGTAACAAGATTTTAGCCACATTCCCCGCAGCACTGTGGGGTACTGCTGCTTCATGAGATTTTTCTCTAAAGTAACCTTTCAAAGTCAGCCACAAAACCTCTTATTCTAGATCATACTGGCATCTGACCTTTGTAAACTTAAAAGAAAAAATAGGAAGAAGAAAGATGCTAAGGGAGACACAGTTATCTTTTTCAAAATGCAGCTAAACCCACAAGCTACAGAGATATCATGACCTATAAAGTTCAGAGCTGTGATGATTCTTTCTAACAATTACCCACAGCTATTATGATTTCCTCCCATCACTAAAACTGTCATTGCTAAGATAATTGCTCCAGTTTGAGAAGGTAGAAGATTTAACAAGTAACTAATATGTAAAGGATAGAGAGAAGAAGGGGAGAGGTTGATATGATCCCTGTCCTTTCACACTGTTAATATGCCAGGTGATAAAATGTCTCATTCACTCCGAAACATTATCACTATACAGGCACTCCTTACAGTGTTTGTTCTCATATATGTCCTCATATTTTTTTTTCCTTTTAAAGTGGCTCTGAGAAATGGCTAATGCACAATCTAATTATGTGATAATAAATGTTAATGACAGTATTATCAGATGATAACTAGGCTTCATTAATGTGTCTCATTATGATTCTCAGTCCCTTGTGGAAGATTGTGAAGAAAGGACCTTAGATATTCCAGATTATATTTGAATGTAGTAGTTACAGAGCCCATATCCAGGGAGAAAGGAAGATATCAGAGACACCTTTAGCTCTTTCTCTAATTTTGCTTCTTCAAACCTAAGCATCCATCAATCACATCTCAAAATTTATCATATACCTTCAGCATAATAAAAATAGTAACTATAGTAATAGTAATAGTCCTGATATGACAAATAATATGTAAGATCATTTTAATTGTAACTGCTGATATATTTTGGTATAAGTATACAGGCATTTATGTCCCAAACATTATGACCTTGATTATCCATAACAAGTTTAAATCATTTAGAGAGGATACACTTATTTAAAGGTTTGCACCTGTTAAATTTTGGTTCTGCTACACCATATATATATATATATATATATATATATATTTTTTTTTTTTTTTTTTTTTTTTGAAATGGAGTCTCCCTCTGTTGCCCAGGCTGGAGTGCAGTGGCACAATCTCAGCTCACCGTAACCTCCGCCTCCTGGGTTCAAGTGATTCTCCTGCCTCAGCCTCTCAAGTAGCTTGGATTACAGGCATCTGTCAACACGCCCGGCTAATTTTGTATTTTTAGTAGAGACAGGTTTCTCCATGTTGGTCAGGCTGGTCTTAAACTCCCGACCTCAGGTGATCCACCCACCTCAGCCTCCCAAAGTGCTGGGATTACAGGCATGAGCCACTGCACCCAGCCAGCTACACTATTCTTAACATTCAAAGTAGCACTGTCAAGTTATCACCAAGATTTCATCACAATTTTTATTATTTTTCTATATTTACCCTCTATTTTAACTATGTAAATTTATCAAATGTTTTAATATTTGAGAGGGCAAATCTACTATCACCGATATTTAATGTTTTGTATTTTTTCTTAATTATTATATTTTTTAAATTGACGTGATAATTGTACATATTTATGGGGTATGTAGTGATATTTCGATACATACAATGAATAATTAACAGATTCGTGTAATTCTCGTATCCATCATGTCAAAATTTATCATTTCTTTGTGATGGGAACATTCAGTATACCCCTTCTAGCAATTTGAAACTATATTATTGTCAACTACAGTCATCCCACAATGCTATAGAACACTAGAACTTATTTGTCTCTAGCTGTAATTTTGTATCCCTTGACAAATCTCTCTTTATCCTTCTCTCATCCCACCCTTCCCTGTCTCTAGTATATTCCATTCTACTTTTTCCTCCTCTGAGATCAACTTTTTTTTAGTTTCCACATATGAGTGAGAACATGCAGTGTTTAACTTTCTGTTCTTAGCTTATTTTACGTAACATAATGTCCTCTTGATTTGTCGAAGCTGCTTCTTATAGTTTCTATTAGAAATATGTGTGTGTGCGCCTGTGTGTGTATAATGTAGGATATTTTAGGTAAACAACTAAATAGTTGTAAATGAGGCTGAACTGTTTTTAAGGTTTTATTTGTGACTAATAATTTGTCTTATTAATAAAGCCTAGGTTAAAAAAATAAGTGGAAGACATATCTGTCACACACTATATCTTGGGAGTTTTGAAAAATAAAGTGTTGATTTCAGGCAAAATACTTAGTTCAACTGTAACTAAATCAGCAAAGATGTCATGATTCCATAAGGGAGCCACTCTAAATATAATGTTAAATGGAATATTTCATTATATTTTAGAAGTAGGGACTACTAGTTTGACATTTATGTTTTTGAGTATATGTGGTTGCATTCTTATATCTAATAAAATATTCAGTTGTCTTAAACTTAACATTCTTAAGGCCTAGGGCAAGGATAATAATCAAAACCTATATAGTGTATGTTTGCATATTTAAAAGTTATAAATCAAGTTAACAAACTGTTAAAATAAAGTATGCTGTGTTCTCTCACTTTGACACATATACCTTCTCAATGAAATTCAGGTTTGGAACTAGAATTCTTGGGCCGTCAACATCCAGCACAGAATATGAGGACATAGAGAGAGCCGGTGCCCTGACCTGGTCTCACACCGTGAGAGGCCTTGTGTTTATACGTTTTGGGTACCTCTGTTGATATGTTGAAACTCAGTCTACCACTGTAGCTCTAGCAAAAAGCTTCCCATTGGCCCACAGGGCCTCTAGTTGTGCACTCTGTATACGTGGTTCACCATGAAAGACAGAACTGGTGGAGAGGAACATGGATGCTGGAAGCAGTCTCAAAACCCTTTGAAGACAGAATTCTAAGTCTTTATGTTCTACAGCATGATCTCAAAGGTGGTAGGTGGGGGTGAGCAGCATCACCTCCAACTAACCTCATCCCCTTGGACCTGGTAAACTCCTTGTACTTTGGGGAGGAATGTGGCCAGAGAGAGGACCATAGTGGAGCCCTTGAAAGCACAGGCTCCAGGGCAAAGTGTTCTTTTGCTCAATTATATGGGCATTCTTCTTATGGGTGTAGTTATTTGCTTATTGCTATGTAATGATTTGGATTTAATAATGCTATATTGAAAGTGCAATGGCCTACAGAACTGAGGGATCACGTTTTAGCTTAAATTCAATAGAAAAAAATGACTCCTTTATAAAAAAAAGTATTTAAATTTGTAAGTTGTCATCCCTATCCACTAAGGGATATTAAATGTATTAAATGCTGGGAAATATATATGCACATATATATTTATATATGTATGTATGTATGTGTGTGTGTGTATATATATATAATAGTGATCAGAGAAAAAGACAAATGAAGACAAACAGCAATGAGGATAAAAATAGTCCAAACATATGAACTCCCAGATGCCATTTTGGAGGAAAATAAAAATTTCAATAGAAATCAATAGATAAGGAACAGATATTTAAGAAAATGTGCTTGGAACAAGTGCACATAAAATAACTAAAATTTAGTATAATGGTCATGAAGGAAAAAAATATGCATGAAAACAAGACATTATGGAATATGAGAAAATTAGATGCTGAAGAAAATAATTGATTGGACTAAAATTATTCCATTAGGCACTCTGATTAATACTCATTATTTAGTGGGGAGAAATATAGAGGTTGTTATTAGAAGACCCAATAGGCCCACTATAACCTTTATATATCATTATATATAATTATATTGATCAATTTTACAGCTTCCAGTTTAAATAAAGGTTCATTCAGTCTCAGTAGATGCATTTTCTATATATTATAGGTATCTGTATATAATTACATATATGTGTATATATATTATATTGAATATTGACAGATTATAATCACTTACATTTATAGGGTATAGAGTTATGCTTTAATATATGCATCCAATTTGGAATGACTAAATCAAGTTCATACCCATCGCCTCTAATAATTACCATTTATTTCTCCTGTCTCACAGAAACATTGCACTCTTTCAACAATATCTCTTCATTCCTCTCACTCCTAAATCTCTGGTAACTATTCTGTTCTCTACGTCTAGAATTCAACTATTATAGAGTCCACATAAAAGTGAGAACATATGGTATTTGTCTTTCTGTGCCTGGCTTATTTCACTTAGCATAATGTCTTTGTATTAGTCCTTTTACACACTGCTATAAAGAACTACCTGAGACTGGGTAATTTGTAAAGAAAAGAGGTTTAATTGACACACAGTTCCTGAGGCTGGAGAGGCCTCAGGAAATGTACAATCATGGCAAAAGACAAAGGGGAAGCAAGACACATCTTATATGGTGGCAGGAGAGAAAGAGTATGAAGGGGGAAGTGCCACCAGATCTTATGAGAACTCACTCACTATCACAAGAACAGAAAAGGGGAAGTGTGCCCCCATGATTCAATTACCTCTCACCAGGCCCCTCCCCCAACATGTTAGAATTACAATTTGTGATAAGATTTGGGCAGGGACGCAGAGCCAAACCATATTGTTCTGCCCCTGACCCCTTTAAAATATCATGTTCTTCTCACTTTTCAAAGCCAATCATGCCTTCCCAAGAGTTCCCCAAAGTCTTAACTCATTCCAGCATTAAACCAAAAGTCCAGTCCAAAATATTTCTGAGACAAACAAGTCCCTTCCACCTATGAGCCTGTAAAATTAAAAACAGATTAGTTACAATGGGGTTACAGGCGTTGGGTAAATACTCCTGTTCCAAAAGGGAGAAATTGGTCAAAACAAAGGGGCTATGGGCCCCATCCAAATCCAAAACCCAGCAGGACAGTCATTAAGTCTCAAAGCTCTGAAATAATCTCCTTTGACTCCATGTCTCACATCCAGGGAATGCTGATGCAACAAGTGGGCTCTCAAGGCCTTAGGCAATTCTACTCTTGTGTCTCTGCAAGATACAGCCCCTTTGATTGCTTTCATGGATTGGCATTGAGTGCCGACAGCTTTTCCAGGCAGCCAGGGCGAGCTATCGGTGAATTTATCATTCTGGGTTCTATAGGACTGTGGCCCTCTTCTCACAGCTCCCCTAGGCAGTGCCCCAGTAGGAACTCTGTGTGAGGGCTCCAACCCACATTTCTCCTGTGCACTGCCCTCATAGAGGTTTCCATGACAGCTCCATTCCTGCAGCACACTTCTGCCTGGATATCCAGGCACTTCCCTATATTATCTGAAATCTAGGTGGAGGTTCCTAAACCTCAATTCTTGTCTTCTGCACACCTGCAGGCCCAGCAGTATGTGGAAGTTGCCAAGGCTTGGGGCTCGCACCCTCTGAAGCAGTGGTCTGAGCCATGGCTGGAGCTGGAGCTGCTGGGACACAGGTCTTCACGTCCCAAGGCTGTGAGGACCTGGGCCCAACCCAAGAAACAATTTTTCCCTTCTAGGCCTTTAGGACTGTGATGGGAGGTGCTGCCGTGAAGATCTCTGAAATGCCCTGAGGACTTTTTCCTCATTTTCTTGGAGATTAACATCAGGATCCTCTTGATTTATGCAAATTTATGCAGCCAGCCTGAATTTCTCCCCAGAAAATGGGTTTTTATTTTTTTAACCACATGGTCAAGTTGCAAATTTTCCAAACTTTTAATGTCTTCTTTCCTTTTAAACATAAATTCCAATTTCAAACCATCTCTTTGTGAATGCATGTGACTGTACACTTTTAGAAACTGCCAGGTCAGGGCGTGGTGGTGCATGCCTGTAATCCCAGCTACTTGAGAGGCTGAGGCAGGAGAATCGCTTGAACCTGGGAGGTAGAGGTTGCAGTGAGCCAAAATCACACCACTGCACTCCAGTCTGGGTGACAGAGTGAGACTCCATCTCAAAAAAAAAAAAAAAAAAGGAAAAGAAAAAGAAACCACCAGGTCAAATCTTGAATGCCTTTCTGCTTACAAATTTCTTCTGCCAGATGCCCTAACTTATCTCTCTCAAGTTCAAAGTTTAACAGATCTCTAGGAGAGGGGCAAAATGTCACCAGTCTCTTTGCTAAAGCATAGAAAGAGTGACCTTTACTACAGTTCACAATAAGTTCCTCATCTCTATCTGAGACTACCTCAGCCGGGACTTTATTGTCCATATCACTATCAACATTTTGATCAAAACTATTCAACAAGTCTCTAGGAAGTTCCAAACTTTCCCATATCTTCCTGTCTTCTTCTGAGCCCTCCAAACTCTCCCAACCTCTGCCCGTTACCCAGTTCCAAAGTCACTTCCACATTTTCAGGTATCTTTGTAGCAGTGCCACACTTTCCCGGTACCAGTTTTCTGTATTAGTCCATTTTCACATTGCTATGAAGAACTACCTGAGACTGGGTAACTTATAAAAAAAAGAAGTTTTAATTGACTCATAGTTCATGGCTGGAGAGGACTCAGGAAGGTTACAATCATGGCGGAAGGCAAAGAGAAAGCAAGGTACATAGTGACAGGAGAGAGCACAAAACGGGAAGTGCCACACACATTCAAATAATTAGATCTCGTGAGAACTCTATCGCTATCATGCTAACAGCCAGGGGGATGTCCGCCCCCCTGATTCAATCACGTCCCATCAGGCTCCACCCCTGACATGTGGGGATTACAATTCTAGATGAGATTTGAGTGGGGACACAGGGCCAAAGCATATTGGTCTTCCAGGTTTATTCATTTTGTTGCAGATGACAGAATTTCCCTCTCTTAATGCTGAATAATATTCCATTGTATATATATACCACCTTTTCTTTATTCATTCATCTCTGATGGACACTTGGTTGATTCCGTAACTTGGCTGTTATGAATGATACTTCAATATCTGAAGTGCAGATATCTCTTCATCATGCTGATTTCATGTATTTTAGACATACACTCAGAAATCAGATTGCTGGATCATATGGTAATTTAATTTTTAGCTTCTTGAGGAACCTCCATGCAGTTTTCTGTAGTGGTTGTACTATTTACAGTTTCACACACAAAATACAAGCTTTCCCTTTTCTCCACATCCTCCCTAATACTTGTAATCTGCATTTTGTATATTTTTAATTTTCTGAGTTAAATAAAATGTATTTAATGCAGTAAATATATATTTGGATCAGATGATCACTTCAGAGCTATTGCCACCAAGGTTCTTATGCAAGACTCTTCTTGATAAGGTAGATTGCAGAAGTAACAAAAGAGGTTTCAATAAACATAACTTTGGCTGTGTGTACTTCCTATTACTCCAGCAATGCATAATGGAGGTAAATATTAGGACTTCATGTGGATAATTTATAGAATGGAAATTTGATGTATTTATATCCAATCCATTTCTAAGTATGAGATATTGTAGGCAAACATTTACTTTCTGTCTGAGTAGAACATTTCTCGCTGACAAGGGAGATGATTTTTATGTCGTTATTTGCATTTGCACAAGAACACTCTCTTTTCTTTATCAAGATGTTCTTGATCCTGTGTAAAATATTTTCAGAAAAATTAAAGAGAAATTAAGCTTAGACAATTCCCTCTTATACACCTGAAGCAAGCCCCTTGACACTCAAATAGTCACATAATAATTCTTTCTTCTTTTTGTGGAAAAAGCCTATAATAAAAGCTAAGTAAATTTAGTATTGACTATTAAAGTCAAGAAAGTCACAACAAATATTGTGTTTACCATTCTCCACAAAACCTATTTTATTTATTACAATATAAGAAATATGAAATGCATATATCTCTCGTGTGAAATAATTTTTAAATTTTTCTGTTGAATATTTCATGTCATTAATAGAAGTGAAACCTTTTAAAAATATATAAAAGGATGTAATCACTGTTCCTTCGTTTTGATTCATGAATGTTTAGAAATGTGCAGACAATGTGCTGTACTTTTGCAGAACACAGTAGGTCACATGCAAAACCAGTGGTCACTTGCCCTCCAACAGTGAGGTTCTGAAACTCCTCACAACTCTACATAAGAAAATTTCCCCAGAAAAATGTGAAACTCAGTGTGTTAAGATATAATATGATGCAATTTTTTTTGAATAGGAAATAGATAAGCATTGTAATAATTCAATGTTTGATCTCTTAGTTTTATAAAATGTATACTTTGTTAATTATTTTAAAATACTAAAAAATAGAAGTTACCTCTGCTTTTGGCAGGTACCTCATATAACTTATTGTTGAAGATATGAGAAGTAAATGGAGAAATATTATAAAATTTCCTTAGCTTATATGCATGGACCCTTGGGTTATATTCCTGAGAGCTTGCTGGAGCTGTGGAGGTTACGTATACAACATTTAGTGAGAGAGATGCTTAGCAATTTGTCATCTGGCCAACCCACTCATCACCCATCTCATTTTGCTGATGAAGATAGCTGAATTCCACCTTTTGTGGCTTTAAAAATGACTCAAAGGTAGAGAAGTTTTGTCATGCTTGCCTTCTCTTTCCTTTCCTTCCTCTCTCCATCACCTCTTGGAGTCAGAAAGGATAGAGGTGAGGCTGAGAGATTTGAGTCCATTTCCTCCCCTTCCTTGCCTTGTAATGGAGAGGGCCAACCTGAGAGTGGTGTACAGGAGATATCAAATCTCTATAGCATAAACCCATTTTTAGGATTCATGAAACTATAACAATTTAGTGGAGAATCAATCACTTTTGTAGAAGAACTTCTCATTTCTTTCCCCAAATTAGGTCAGATTACTTAAAACAAAAACTATTTGAGGAAGTCTTCCTCACTTGTCCTTGAATATAAAGACTGCTTAAAACAAAACAAAAATCCTAATCTGGTGATATAATTTGGATATGTGACCTCACCCAAATCTCATGTTGAACTGTAATCCCCAATGTTGGAGGTGGAGTGTGGTGGGAGGTGATTGGATCATGGGGGTGGATCCCTCATGAATACCATCCCCTTGGTGCTGTTCTTGTGATAGTGAGTGAATTCTCACAAGATCTCATTGTTTACAGGTGCGTAGTGCCTCCGCCCATCTCTCTCTTGCTCCTGGTCTCATCGTGACGGGCCTGGTCCTGCCTCACTTTATGCCACGACTAAGAGCTCCCTGAGGCCTCTCCAGAAGCAGATATCACTATGCTTCCTACACAGCCTGCAGAACCGTGAGCCAATTAAACATCTCTTCTTATAAGTTACCTAGTCTCAGGTATTTCTTTATAGCAGTGCAACAACAGCCTAATACATCTGGCAATGTTTTTGGATGTGATTATAGATAAAAATAAATCTAAAAAGTTTACCAGCTTTCCGGGGATCTAGCCATCTTTATACAAAGGGCTTCAAAAATAAACTAATTAATAAAAGGATGGCTAATCATTAGAACAACATTTCAGTATCTGTGTGGGTGTTATATTTTATCTGTTAGTAAATATTTTATAATAAGGGAGCATGTTTCTTTCTGACTTGACATTAAAGTACCTATACATCTGTTAAAAAGTGCTTTGACCTTTAGCAATGTGGTATGATCAACGATATTATAAGCTGATTTAGGTTAAAAAAAGGACACATGGGCTTATCAGTTTTAGAAGTAGACATCTGTATGCAAAAAAAAATGTATTTCTGTATTTCAAGCACAAAATTAGGAACACTTAATTTTTCCTTTGGAAAAAAATTAAACACATAGACTTGCATACATATACCACTCATACAGAAACACCTATTTTTTGAAGCTTTGCTTTAAAACATAACATTTTAGAAATAAAATTGTGGATAGAAAGAGACAAGTGTTTAGTATGAAAAAAATTGCAGCATTTATCAATTAGAATATACTCATTAATTTGGCAAAGCCAAATGTGATTACAAATTAAACTGTGTCTTAAACCAGTAATTTTCATTTGTAGCATTTAAAGCACAAAGAAAAAAAAAAGCATATCTGTTCTGCTGTCCTGGAAATTGGGAGTACAACATAATCATTGACAACATGAAGAGAATATAGATCAGGGTGTAGAGTAGTTAAGTAAGATTTTTCTGAGAATAAAATATTGAAGACAAAAAAGAGCCTGTTTTAATCTATTCCTGTGACCTCAATTTCTGAGATGACATGCAAGGAACTAAAATACACACACCTCATGTTTGCTGAAAATCTGATATTATTTATATGTATATATGTTTATGTAGATATAGATATGGATGCATGCATGTATGTATGTGCATCCATATACACACAGGCCCAGATCAAGTCCAACACCAACAGGGCAATATATATCAAATTGTAAGGGCTGCAGCTCTCCAGTGCTGAAATCTGGGTTCATGGAGGCAGCCTTGCCCCCATGGCTCTGCTGGCATTACCTTAGTTGGTGCTCTCTGTGATAGCCTGTCCCCATGGCAGTTCTCTGAAGTGGGCCCATCCCTATGGCAGTTCTCTGCCTGGACCTTCTTCTAGCTCTCTCAGGGCATCCTTTGAAATCTAGTCACATCCCCTCTGCTTTCCTGGGTGAAATACACACTTCGCTAAGGCTGCTGATTTCACTGGTGGGGTGACTGAGGAGGAGAACTGCAGAGTGCGGGGAGTGGAGACTGCAATGTGAGGAGGCTGTTATAATCAGTGGTGGTCTCTCTTTTGATAAACTTCTGCCCCCCAGACCCTGGAATTCTGGGCTCGTGATGGGAATGGCAGCATAGACAATCTCTAAAATGCCTTCAGGGTCATTCTTCCATTGCCTTTTACAATAAGCCCTGGCTTCTGTTTAGATGGCAGCATAACCCTTTCATTATTTTTGATGAATAGCACCTACCTTCCATTGAGGTGGCCTATCCATACTAATCTACTTATCCAACAGTTGGTTGGCCCACACTTGTTCTCTCCCAAACAGGTTTCCTCATGTTTTCCAATGTAGATAGGCTGAATTTTTTTCAAGATTTTGAAGTTCTGCTTCCCTTTTGATTACAATCAATTTTAAATCATTTTTCTCTTCGCACATTTTACTATCAGCAGGCAAGAGGAACTAGGCCACTCTTCCAATACTTTGCTCAGAAATTTCCTCAGCCAAATATTCTACTTCAATGCTTACAATTTCTACTTTCCTGAAAACATGAGGAAAATTCAGCCAAATTCTTTACTCCTTTATTACAAGAGTGACCTTTCCTCCATTTTCCAATAACATGTTCCTCATTTCAACCTGAAACTTCATCAGTGTGACCTTTACCAAGCTTATTTCTGCCAGCATTATATTCTTAACTATTTAGTCTCTAAGAAAATTCCAGCTTTCTCTACAGCTTTTCTCCTCTCCTTCAGAGCTCACACCAGACTCACATTCTAAAGATCCTTTCAGAGCTGTGTTGACTTTTTCTACCATGCACTTTGAAACTCTTTTAGCCTCTACCCACTACCCAATCCCAAAACATCCCCACTTCCATATGTTTAGGTATATGTTATAGCATAGAGCACCCCCACTCTTTAGTACTAATTTTCTCTTAGTCTGTTTGAATTGCTGTAATAAATTGATACATACTATGTAGCTTATAAATGACAGACATTTATTTTTCATAGTTTTAGAGGCAGGGAAGTTTCAAGGCACCAGCAGATTAGGTATCTGGTGAGGGCCAGCCTACTTGCTGGTCCATAGACATCTGTTTATTTACTATAAATTCAAATGGCGGAACAGCTTGGGGGGAGGTCTCTCTCAGACTTATTTTATAAAGTCACTTATTTCATTCATGAGGGCTTTACTCCAATGACCTAATCATTTCCCGAAAGCCCCACCTCCTAATACCATCATTTTGGGGATTAGGGTTTCAACATGTGAATTTTGGAAAGGTACAAATGTTCAGACCATAACAGGTAAATTATCATTTTTCTAATTCTCCCTATGCAAATATTTACAAATGCCAAATGACATGGTTTGGCTCTGAGTTCCCACCCAAATCTTATCCTGAATTGTACTCCCATAATTCCCAAGTGTTGTGGGAGGGAGCTGGTGGGAGATAATTTGAATCATGGGGATGGTTTTCTTCATAGTGTTCTCATGATAGTGAATAAGTCTTCTGAGATCTGATGGTTTTATCAGGGGTTTCTGCTTTTGCATCCTCATTTTCTCTTGCCGCCGCCATGTAAGAAGTGCCTTTCATATCCTGCCATGATTCTGAGGCCTCCCTAGCCATGTGGAACTGTACGTCCAATTAAACCTCCTTTTCTTCCGAGTCTCAGGTATGTCTTTATAAACAGCATGAAAATGGACTAATATGACGAGTTATTTGTTAACAACAACAACAACAAAAACAAATAGGACTTTGTTATTATAACAGTTGCCCAACTTTTAGCTCCTTTGACAAGACATGTTAATATTGAAACATAAAATGAAGTGAAATGTTTAATTAATCTCATGAATTTGCCTCCTTTAAAAAATATGTGAATATACCTACACACACTATGGGAATTTTCAAAGCCTTCCTAAAGCAGTGACATTTATCAGAATAAAAGTAATCATTAAAGAAAATATGGAAGATCTTCTTAATGATCTCTGCCTGAGATATTTTTAAACATTTGTAAAATTATTGGTTTTAGTAAAAATTGAGGGGAGACAAGGATTTAATGGTTAATAAAATTTCTCAATGCAGGAAGTAAATGAGGAATCACATGCTCATTCATTCCTATTACTATATCACATAACCTAAATAAAGGGGGATGGGTATTGTATTAGTCTGTTTTCATGCTGCTGCTGATAAAGACATGCCTGAAACTGGGCAATTTACAAAAGAAAGAGGTTTCATGGACTCACGGTTCCACGTGGCTGGGGAGGCCTCACAATGATGGTGGAAGGTGAAAGGCATGTCTCACATGGCGTTAGACAAAAGAAGAGAACTTGTTTAGGGAAACACCTCTTTATCAGATCTTATGAGACTTATTCACTATCATGAGAACAGCATGGGAAAGACCCACCCCTATGATTCAATTACCTCCTAACAGTTCCCTCCCACAACATGTGGGAACTGTGGGAGCTATAGTTCAAGATGAGATTTGAGTGGAGACACAACCAAATCATACCAGGTATTAAGTAAGTAAATATGGCATATTTTTCTTTTCCCATTAAATGCATTTACTGTCAAATTTCCATTTGCCTTTTTTTCAAATCCTCTTTTCAAACATACAGTTTGCTTTCCCACTCTGAAAAAAAAAATGTGATTTATGAAAATTTCACAAGACTATAGATGGCTATACTTAAAGTAAGAATATAAAAAACTGAAACTGATATGATCTAAAATAAAAACATCAACTCAGGAAATACAAATCAAGGGTAGAAATATTTGAGTTTCTGAATATCATAGTTCTGAAACATGCATGAATGCCAAAGTGAATTTCTAGGTCTGATTTAGAAATCTACTGAATTTCTAAATCTGGACCATTAGACCAAATGTTATTTATTGTAAAAGCATTAGGTGACTTAAACAGGACTTTCACTTGAGGTAGTATTGAACAATCCATTCCTCAAGTTTAATCAAATACCAATGTTTCTGTTTAGAAAAATGTGTGGGAGAAAGTCAAAAGTACTGCAGTAAGCAAAATAAGAGGCCCCCAAAGATATCCAGCTCTTAATCTCTGGAGTTTGTGAATATGTTATTGTGTTACATCGCTTAAGGGAATTAAGGGTTCAGAGGGAATTTGGCCTTTAAAAATGAAGATTATACTGGATTATCTGGGTAGGCATGATGTATCACAAGGATCCCTAAAATATGGAAGAGGGAGTTAGGGGAGTTAGTATCACAGTGATGCAATGTGAGAAAGACTCAATTGTCCATAGCTGGTTTTCAGGATAAAATGGGATCATGACCCAAAGAATCTGGGCAGCCTCTCAAAGTTGGAAAAGGCAAGAAAACAGATTCTTCCCTAGAGTTTCCAAAAATGAATGCATCCCTGTGGACACCTTGATTTTAGCACAGTGAGACATATTTTGGACCTTTGGCTTCCAGATCTGTAAGGTCATAAGTTTGTGTTGTTTTATGCCAGAAAGTTTGTTGTAAGTGCTTATAGCTGCAATAGAAAACAATACAGTTGTTTATAAAAGGGAGATTCCCTAAGCAGAGTATAATAGAGAGACAGTTGCTTGTGAGGGGTGGCAGAGAGGCATGGAGGAATCTCTATGGCACTATGTCCCTGACATCTAATCTTTAAAGTTGTACAGGATCTGACAAATAAGAGAACCTTGCCCTATCACTGGGATAATTCTCTTTAGAAAACTGGGGAAGCTTTTAATGTCAAAGAGCTATGACATTTTAGCACTATGATGTAGATTAAGATTTCTCCCTTAGGCTAGTAACACTCAGAGATATTGATCAGATTCTAAGAGCTTGAATTGTTGTTTTTTTAAAAGAATATTCTGAGTTATACCATTTCGATGGCATTTAATGCAGAAGATTAAGAGCTGACATTATTTCAATTTTTAAAATAAGAGACAATAATAGCAATAAAAACACACTTTTTCTGCTTTGTTTTGTTTTTTGTTGCTCTGAATTTTGGACACATATGAGTCAGTGAGGTTCATTGTCTGCATACAAATATGTATTTGTAATGTATATACAAACACACACACATACACATATATGTAAATATATATATGTATACACACATATAAGTTTAGATAGAGAGATAGTGAAGACTAAGAAAGGAAAAGAAGCAATATTTAATGATAAAGCGATTGTAACCTTTTCAATGTGATGAAAAACAGGAATTACAAACCCAGAAGCTCAACACAGTACAATAGGATGAAAACAAAGAGATCCAAATCAGACACATCAAGTAAAATGTTGAAAGCCAAAGAGAGAGAGAAAATCTTGAAAATAGCAAGAAGAAAACTATTTATCATTTGTAATGAAAGCCCAAGTTAACAGTGAATTTCCAACTAGAAAAAAATACATGTCAGAAGGCAATGGAATAATATGTTAAATGTTAAAATTAAAACCAGCCAAAAAAAAATCTGTCAGCAAAGATCTTAAGTACAACAAAATGATTTTCAAAACTGAAGACAAAAGAGAGACATTCCCAGATAAACAAAAGCTGAGTGAATGTGTTGTTGTCAATCCCAGCTAACACAAAATAGGCAAGCAGGTTTTCAGGCTGAGAGCTAGTGATAGGTAGACAGCAATTCAAATTCACATGATAGGCCGGACATGGTGGCTCACACCTGTAATCCCAGCACTTTGGGAGGCTGAGGCGGGTGGATCGTTTGAGGTCAGGAGTTCTAAAGTAGCCTGACCAACATGCAGAAACTCTTTCTCTACCAAAAATACAAAAATTAACAGGGGTGGTGGTGTGCACCCGTAATTCCAGCTACTCGAGCGGCTGAGGCAAGAGAAGCACTTGAACCCAGGAGGCGGAGGTTGCAGTGAGCCAAAACCATGCCCCTGCACTCCAGCCTGGGCAAGAGTGAGACTCTGTCTAAAGAAAAAAGAATCACATGATAAAAAGCAGAATACTGGTAAAGATAATTATGCAGATCACTATAAAATATAATTATATAGTTACACAGATCACTATAAAAAATACAAGATGCAGTATAATTGATATTTCTTCTACTCTTTTTTCAGTTGATTTTCAAAGCAATTGTATGAAATAACATTTACATATTTATATTTATTGAGCCATTAACATAAAAATACAATGTATTTGACAATAACAGCACAAAGAATGTGGATGGAAACAAAGCATACTACATTGGAGTGAAGAACTTGTATCAGATCCTTTTTTTTTTTTAATTTTTATTTTGAGATGGAGTCTCACTCTGTCGCCTAGGCTGGAGTGCAGTGGCATGATCTAGGCTCACTGCAGCCTCCTGCCTTAGCCTCCTGAGTAGCTCGGATTACAGGCACCTGCCACCATGCCCAGCTAATTTTTGTATTTTTAGTAGAGACAGGGTTTCAACATGATGGTCAGGCTGGTCTCCAACTCCTGACCTCAAGTGATCCGCCCACCTCGGCCTCTTGAATTGCTGGGATTATAGGCGTGAGACACCATGCCTGGCCCTTGTATCAGATCTCCAGAGAGAAATGAAGAGAAATAGAAATGGTAACTAATAATGTTTGTTGGGGTTGTAACACCTATGGGCCCACTATGTATGAGATGATAACATACAAAAAGGAGGGGAGGAATTAAGCTCTACAGAAATAAAACAGAAATAAAACTGCTGTGTTACACTGGAGCTAAGTCAGTATAATCTAAATTGTATGGAAGTTAATATTCATATTTAACACCTGAAACCATCACTAAGAAAATATCTAAGCAATATTATTAAAAATCACTAAAAGAATTAAGTATTATACTAGAATATATCCACTTAATATGAAACAGTTAAAAGGAAACAGAAGTGCAAAGACACATGAAGGATATAGAAAGAGATAGAAATATGGATGATATATTAGATATCACTCCCACATATCAGTTACAACATTAAATGTGAATAGATTAAACAATATAATTAAAAGTCAAAGATTATGAGTTTCAATGAATAAAATCAATATCCAGCTATATGTTTACAAGGGAGGTACTTCAGAATCAGAAATAAAAATGTATTTACAATAAAAGGATGAAAGGATATACTGTGCAAAAAGCAATCGTGAGACCTGGAGTGAAACTTTAAAAATGTTGCTAGAAAGGCTGGGCACAGTGGTTCATGCCTGTAATCCCAGCACTTTGGGAAGTGAAGGCAGGCAGATCATTTGAAGTCAGGAGTTCAAACCAGCCTGGCCAACATGGTGAAACCTCATCTGTACTAAAAACACAAAAAATTAGCTGGGCGTGGTGTCAGGCGCTTGTAATCCCAGCTACTCAGGAGGCTAAAGCAGGAGAATCGCTTCAACCTGGGAGACGGAGGTTGCAGTGAGCCGAGATAGCATCTCTGCACTCCAGCCTAGGTGACAAAGCAAGACTCCATCTCAAATAACAAAAATAAAATTTTAAAAAATGTTGCTAGATAGAAGGAGGGACAGTGCATAATGCTAAGAGTCAATAGATTTGGGAATATATAAAATTTATCTAAGCATTTAACAACAGAATCCAAAGATACTTTAGATAAATATTGACAGAATTGAAGGAAAGAATAGACAATTCAACAGTAGTAGTTGATTTTAATACCTCTTTCAATGAGGATAGAACAAGGAGACAGAGCAATAAAGGCAAAGATTTTAACACACAACTAACTGTAACACACATCTATCTATAGGACACTCCATTTAGCAAAAGCAGAAAGCATACTTTTTTAAAGTGCACGTGGAACATTTTTAAAAGCCTCAATAAAATTTTTTAAAATTGCAATAATACAAATTATATTCTTCAACCTCAATGAAATTTTAAAAATCCTCAAAAGGAAATTTGAGAAATTTACAAATATGCAGATATCAAACAACAGATTCTTAAATAAGCAGTGGGTCGAAGAAATTACAAGAAAGGTTTGAAAATGCTTTGAGATGAATATAATGTACATATAAAATGGTAAAAAGTATACAAAAAACTAAAGCAGTTTTCAGAGTGAAACACATAGCTATGAACATTTACAGTAAAAAATAACAGTATCCAAAATAAATAACCTAAAAGTTACTTTAAGTTTGTTCCAAGAGAAAATTTATAGAAATAAATTAAAAACATGATCAAAGATTTACTGCAGAGAGTTTAGAATTCAGAGAATATGAGAGTTAGAAATGTGCAGATATATAATAAGAACATCTAAGATATATCTAACAAAAGGTTTAAAGAATTATAGTGTGAAAAAGGCCATACTAATCAAGACATACCAGCTGAAGTTTTTTGTTTTTGTTTTTGTTTTTTTTTTTTGACACAGAGTCTCGCTCTGTCACCCAGGCTGGAGTGCAGTGGCGCCATCTCAGCTCACTGCAAGCTCCGCCTCCCGGGTTCACGCCATTCTCCTGCCTCAGCCTCCCGAATAGCTGGGACTACAGGTGCTCGCCACCAAGCCCGGCTAATTTTTTGTATTTTTTAGTAGAGATGGGGTTTCACCGTGTTAGCCAGGATGGTCTCGATCTCCTGACCTTGTGATCCTCCCTCCTAGGCCTCCCAAAGTGCTGAGATTACAGGCATGAGCCACCGTATCCGGCCACCAGCTGAAGTTTTTCCAGAATTGGTGGAAGATGTCCGTCCTCACCTCAGGCAGCACAGTTTTCAAAACTACTGTACCTGTGTATTCCAAAATTGTGTCTCTCACCAAGCATATACTTAGCAGACATTTGTTAAATGAATCTTAGATACATTATGGTGAAACTATCCAGCATTAGATATGAAGATTAATTTTTAAATCTAATACTCATTTAGATTGCTTACTAAGAAACAGCAACAAGGTGAAACAAAATTTCCAACAAACACAGAGCTGGATAATTTCTTAGAAGGAATGCTGGCAGAAAATAATTCTCCACCTAGAATTATATATCCAAATAATGATAATTTCAAATTATTATTTATAATTTTGAAAATATTAATGATACTATTTTTGATGGCCAAATAAAAAAAATGTTGAACAAAGTGCCGAAGGCTAGGAGAACATTATTCAATAAATTTTTTTTATTTTTATTACCTTTCAGAAAGTAGACACAGATCCTCCTATGATGTGTTAGAATGATTAATGAGATCAGAAACTGCACAAATAGTGGTGAATCTAAACAAATATTGATGATCTATAAATATTCTATACTGGATATTTTGTTGGGAAAAGTGGTGAAATTAAGACACAGGGCACAATGACATGTTAGAAGAGAGATGGCTGAGAAGTCATGAAATAATATTTTACGTTGCCCACAAAGAGTGCAGAAATTTATTACTATAGAATTTGTTTAGTCAAGTGTACATACTAAAACTTTAAGTATAAAACTGAGCATTTGAAATAAAGTGTGCAATTGAGCAAAAAGGAAAAGGAAAATGATAAAACAAAAAAAAAGTAAAATGATCTGTCAAAATAAGATAGAATGTGAGTTCATCTCTGTGGATATAAAATAACTATATGAAATATAGGCTTTACACAGGAAAATATAAGTCCCAGAAAAATTTAAAGGACATAGATATCTCAGTGATTTGATAGTTTGAATTATATATCTTTGATATAAGTACATATTCATGAAACAAAATATAAGAGACTGAATTTAGCAATAAATTATATATCTGACATTAAAACTGGATTTTTTTTGTTTGCTTATAGATACTGAATATTTATGACTGTTATTTAGTTACCTCTTTTTCAGTGTTTCTTGAGGCTAGTTATTTGACTTTCACTTTAGTGAAAAATATACATTGATTTTGACTGTTTCAAAGACGAATTGCAATTAATAGTTGATGACTCACTGACCCCCTGTAAAGAAGTCATTAAGCAGACGGTACAGTGTAACTTAGGTATAATTTAGTTCATATAATTTCAATTTGACACATCCTATTTAAAACCATGACCCATTTAAAGATGATTGAGAAATGCCTAACAGAGCTATTCACTTTCCTTATTTATTCTCTGAAGAATTAAGATTGAGACAGAAAAAATACGTGTGAGATTTTTTCAATGGCCCTGAAAATTTCCATTGAAGATTGCAAAGCCTAATCAAAAGAAATTTATGAATGTGACTATGATGGATATGGCATTTTCCTCAGATGCTGCTGAACGTTCACTGCCACCATGATTTGGATGCTCTGATTTTAATAAGTAGTTTTTGCATTCGCATGCTCTTTCAAATCTACTCACAACCAAAATATTTTATAACTAAGAAACATGAAATGAGATATCTTGACCCAAATTATTTGTATAATAAGCCAGTGCTTTTTGGGTTATGTTCCAAATTCCTAGATTTATGAAGTGAAATATATGTTTTCTATATGGATATATGTTTTAAAATACATATACATATATATAGAGAGAGAGTAAAGATGTAATGTAGAAATTTTCCAGATTTTAAAAATTAAATATATTTTTTAGTTTTTTTCAATGTATTAATAATAAGGTCATACATTTTTAATAAATATTTAGTTAGAATGCTTTTGGTACTGGTTCATTAACTGATAATTCTCTGATATATATATTGTTGCTATTTGCAGTAGAGTGACAATAGAAGGTTAAAAATGAGACAAAGAGAAAAACAAAACATATTCTGACTTGATCTTCATGTACAGAAAGGAGTGGTTAGTATCAAAATCTTCTACTAGCCCTTTATAGGCCTGAATGTGTCATTTTGATATGCTTGTTCACCGAATCTGCCTGGTGACCACATGGTATCTGGCTAATGTTTCAAAACAAAGACTCATCCACTGAATGATGTAATTGCTGTTTTATTATCCTGCTTCTAGAATTCTTGCTTTTGAAATAGGTCTTGCAGGTTATATTCACAAGCAAAAGCAAGGCATCACTTAATGGTTACCAATAGCAGAAACTTTAAATATTTTATAGGTACTTTTTATTGGGAAAATATGGGATATCCTGAAAAATCAACTGAAAATGGCTTAAACATGAAGGATTATCTCTTATATAACAGAAGTCTAGGGGAGGAAAGCATGAAACTGAGGGAGGGTCTCCATGATAACCTCATGGAATTAGATTATCTTTGTCTTTCCCTCTCTAATTTCCAGCAGTTGACTTTCGTCCTCATTCATGCTGTCTCATTGTTACCAAGCTGCTCCTCTGTCACCATGTGTTATGCCAGCATTACTGAAAGAAAAGGGCCAAAAGACCAAACTTCATGGACTGCTGAATAACCAGTTAACTCAAATTTAATGACTTGAATTTGATTATTTATTGTGATTTCCTAGTTATTATTAAAAATTAATGGCTACAACCCCTGCTAAGCTCAGCGGAAAGGATCTTTTGTATGCAAAACCTACTGCTTTAGGGATGGTGATGTGGTTTTTTGTCTGTTTGTTTTGAGACAGGGTCTCGATTTGCTGCTCAGGCTAGAGTGCAGTGGCACGATCATACCTCACTGTAGCCTTGAACTCTTGGATTCAAGAGATCCTTCCACCTCAGCTTCCCAAGTAGCTAGGCCTACAGTCATGTACATACCACCAGGCTTGGCTAACTTTTTTTTTTTTTTTTTTTTTTGGTAGAGATGGAGTATCCTTATGTTGCCTAGGCTGGTCTAGAACTCCTGAGGTCAAGTGATCCTCCAGCCTCAGCCTTCCAATGTGGTGGGATTATAGGTATGAGCCACTGCACCCTGCCAGGAAAGTTGTTGAAAAAGACCAGCATGTTGGTGTGTGTTGGCAGCTCCTCAGATCCTTCAGTATGGGATATAAAGGGGTTGTAATTAATTGGTTGGAAATAATCAGTGTGCAAACAACAATGGAAATGGAAGAGAATACATCTTGGTAATAAAATCTCTGTCTGTCCATGGCCTATAATATAAATTGCATAAATTTCTAGTAATTTGATATCTTGCAATGTTGTAAAAATCAACTACTTTTATACTCCAAATAAGGGAAACAATGATCATCTAGAGCCCTTGTCAAGGGTCTCCTATTGAGAGTCCTTAGACAATGTGACACATCTCTATGGCAAAGATCAGATATAATATGTTGCATTTACACAAGTAACAGACTTCTGGCTCTCCTCCAACTCAGGTATACTCTTCTGCCGAGAGACTGTACTTCTCAGCCTCCCTTGTGGCTAGGTGTGCCATGTGACTGAGTGCTCATGATTGAGATGTAAGTAAATGTGAAATGCAGGACAGCAATACCCCTTATTAAATGTAATTGCCCATAATTCCCTTGTTTTTTACTTTCATCCCAAATGAAAATGGTGATGACCAGGGCAACACTAATAGCTGTGTATCATGGATGACAAAGCCATACCCAATTTGTTGGGTTCTGGACTGATTCATGGAGCATAGAGTTCCTGGGCTCATAATGTAAGCAGAAAACACTCTTCAGTTTTAATAAGAAATCTATATTGTGGGGCTTATTAGCTCTAGCAATGTAGGTTTTACTGTAGCTAATAAATAATTGGTACATTGGAAGGCTTTCTGCCTGCCACAAAAACCTAAAAAAAATGTGGAATAGACACGTAAGTGAGAGTGAAGGCAGTACATTTATTTAAAGTGTCACTTCTGGTAACTGGAAGAGCAAACCCCTTGCCTAAAGAGCCTTCAGCTGGAGGAGAGGCTGATGGAAAGGGCCAGAATGTTACCATGTGTTAGCTGTTTATTGCTGCATTTAGCTAGCTTATTTCAGGAATTAATGAGCTCAAGGAAGAACAAGACAATTTCAAGTAGAGTTTGAAGAGAATAAAGAGTCCAGAAATGTGGGATCTGATGGGGCTGGAAAAGCCACCTTCGTTTATCACCCTACACAGTAGGAGATAACCCTGCTGCTCAAAAGATTTAATAAAAAATGTCCATTAAGAATTCTCAGCTCAACAAGTGAATCTATAGATCATCTGTGCAAAAGATCAGATTAAGTATGTTGCTTTCCAAATAAGTCTATTATTTTATATGGTTTTATACTTTCAAGAGCCATCATCAAAATGGTAACAATTGACACTGGCTTAACAAAGAAGTGAGACCGTAAGAATAGGTTTCATAATTATTTCCAGAAAAGAGCCTTGGATATAGGTTTCCAGCACAAGAAAATAGCTGTATGCAGTTAGACCATAAACTCATTGAATCTTCTAAGAATTTTTTTTTTTACTAAAGAAGTCAAATATTTAGCCTTCAAAAAGTCCCAAGTTCCCAAATATGTGGGTGCAGAAGCAGGCTATGAAAACTGCAGTGCTTCTGACAAAAGAAATCTCTTTAATATTCATGCAGATGTGGTGAGGGAGAATGTATTACAAGAACAAATTTTTTCAGAGAGAAAGCCAGGACCGCAGAGGATAGAGGACAGGAAATTCTTTTCAATAAGCAGCGATCAGTTTTAAGCAAGAAACTTTCTCCACTGGTAGAGCAGAGATTCTCTGCAATTTTTGTCCTGCAAAATTTTATTGCTCTGAGCAGTGACTGCGTGGTCATTCTTTTTTTTCTCAAATGAGACATTTTATTGTAATTTTAAGTAATATATAGTTGCTATTAATGATACGTAGGAAACTTTTGTGATAGAGAGGACTGTACCCAAATATCCTGACATCTGAACTGTATACCATGCCTGAGTGTAACTATGGCTTGTCTTTCTTGGGAAGTGGGTAGACATGTTCTAACTTTAGGAAGAAGGGTGTGCAGATTATAAAAGATACTGCTGTCTGTCTTTCTATTAATAATAACTAGCCTTCCTCCAGGGTTTTTTCTGGTCTGTGTCAACTAGGTTTAGAGATTTCACTACACTTCAGCCAAAGAGATGTGCACAGAAATGAGGCAAACAACCTCACATCGCATCTTTTCAAAGGAACGCTGCTTGCCCTTTGCTCTATCTTTTCCCTCTTTTGTCGGATCTACTGGACTGTATTTTTCACGTATTGTCACATGATAATGTCTCATTTCTCATGCTCTTCTTGCAATTTTATTGGCAATCCTCCAAATATTTCCTGGATTCCAAGCTCTCTCTTTATTAAACTGAATTGAGACTTGTAACTAAACCGACTGGTAGAGTATGGTAGAAGTGATGGAATATAAACTCTAAGGCAACTCGTAAAACATAATTCTCTTCAATTTGGCTTTCTTTCTGAGTCAGGATGTTCACCTTTGGAACCTAGCCACTATACCATGAGGAAGTGCAGACCACATGGAGCCACCATGTATAGCTGCTCCATTCAACAGCCCTTGCTAAGTTCTCAGAAAACAGTCTGTATCAATTGTTAGGATATGTAAATAAACAAGCTACTGTATAGCTCAAGTGTTTCACAAGGCAACGCTGGAATAAGGAAGGCAGAAATTTGAACCTGGATGTCTCTGGAGCAGAGTTCCCTATCACTTTGGGCTGTTTTCCCTCTTCTTGAACTTTAGGAGTGAGAAGTAAGTGTCTACCTTATGAAAACAACTGAATTTGGGGATCTCTAAAATAGTGGTAAGAAATAAGATTAAAGCTTTTATAGCCTGATTCCTGCTGTCAGAGTTCTGAGAAACAGAACTTTGCCCATATCTTACTTTATACCCCAATGCCTCGTAATTATTATTTAATTAATTAGCAATTTTTATTAGAAATATATTCACTTAGAAAATATGCTTTGACTTCCTACCATATAGCAGAGTCTGGTTCTTGCTGCTGTGAAAAGGATAAGGAAGAAGCTATGCATGATCTTTGTCCTTGTATTACTTTCCTATTGCTGCTGTAACAAAATGCCACAAACTTTGTGGCTTAAAACAGCACACATTAATTCTCTTAGGAAAAAAATTAGAGTTCTGGAGGTTGGAGTTTAAAAATCAAAGTGTTGGTTGGATTGAGTTACTCTTGGAGGCTTGTGGAGTAATCCATTTCCTTGCCTTTTCCAGCTTCTAGGGACTGCTTGAATTCCTTGACTCACAGTGCCTCACACCAACCTCTGGTTCTATTGAAACTTTGTCCGGCCTCCTCCCAACCTGCCGTCTCAACCTCTAGTTTCCCTCTTATAAGGACCTTTGTAATTGTGATTACATCACACTCACCTGGATAATTCAGGAAAATCTCATCATGTCAAGATCCTTAACACAATAAAATCTGCAAATTCCCTTTTACCATGCAAGGTAATGTATTCACAGGTTCCTGGGATTGTAACAGAAACATCTTTAGGAAGCCACTATTCAGTCTCATGCAGTGCACACAAACATGCATTTTCTGTAGGAATATTGAAAGCATCTTATTGTGAATTGATGACTTAGAAAATGTATTTCAGATTTGGCCTGACTTTTTTATTATTGTTCTTTTAGTCTATACTCTTCATTAAAAAGACTCAGTAAGTGATTTTTTGCTTGTGTCTTGTAAGATACAAATTTGAGGTAGCCAAAGTAGTTTTCTATTCTGTATTTTCTCCTTTATGAATACCTTTATTTACTACACATATTAGTACTTTGTCTTCCTTAAGACTTAAAATACTGAAATATAGCACTTTATGACGAGAAAATACTAGATAGCTCTTAAATAAAATTCTGTTGTCCGTGTACTTTTAAAAAATATTGTGATACTGCAAAATATAAGTGTCTCCTTTTACCAATTTTCTGAAGATAGAAGGTTGTTTAAGAACCATGCTATTCTGGCAAAAGAACACCTAAGGTAGACTTGGATTTTCAGCACGGGGAGAGCACAATAAATAAGTGTACTTAATCTTGCTTTTTACTGGAAACACATATTGGAAACAAAGCCGTTTCATAGTCTATGTGTATAGAAGAATACTCTTGACTCCAAAGAACTTCACTTGTATGTGGAACTCCAAGAGAGTCAATAATAAAATCAATAATAATTATAAAGAGAGAACTTGGGCATAGGTGAAGAAGTGATATGATATAATATAGCGATAACAAAAAAACATGTTGTATTGTCAAGATCCAGGAAAAATCTTCTGACATTTAAAACTGGTAGTGAAATAGATTTCTAGTTGCCATGGGGCAGGAGAGGGGGCGCTCATAAAACTCCTCTCTCTTTCTTTGTTTCTTTTCCTCTTTCCTCTGTTTAATTAATGTAGGTTCGCATTGGCCTCTAATAAGGGAAAGAAGAACAGCAGAAGCAAATGATAAATCTTAGTAGGAGTGTAGACCAGCTAGTTTTACTAGTATCTTGTGGTAGTAATTCAAAGGTAACTGGAAAAATAAAACTGAGCTCAAGTCTTTAGTATTTTGTGCTGGTGGGAAATGGAACATTCAAGAATAAAGAAACAAGGTGAAGAATTGGTCGGTGGTAACATTTATTGGGAGGAAATTGACTGAATTTTGGCAATAAACCAGCAGAGGAAGTTGACCTAAAGAACAGACTGTCAGTCATCTGTTTCTTTGGCATTATTTATACAGGTCCTTTCCTCATTCTCTCTTTTTATGCTGTTTTATTAGGTCCTGCTGTTTTATTAGGTCTAGTTTTTTCTTAGTTTATGATTGTAACCTGTTGTTGCTAATTTTCTTAATTCTTAATTTTCTTAATTAATAATTAATTTTCTTAATTATATCTTGTTTGCATCCAAAATCATATTTTAGATTTAGAATTATAAAAATGTTAGTTGTTGATGACAGTTATTGTCATTATCATTAATATTATTATTAATGGATCAATTAAAAACAAAGATAGTTATCATGGGGGCTTATGATTGAGACAATGAGTCATGTGTCTGTCCCGTATAGACAGTATAACATGCTATATCATAAGAGGTAGAAGTCAAATTGTCTCTATTTATAATATATTTCAAGTGGGGTAGGAAGGCTTTTCCAAAAGTGCAGCAGTATATTTATATTGTAATATGCTTGTCTTAATGAAAAACATTATGGGGTAGGAATACTGTTCTTTACATTTGTTGAACTCATATGATAGTGTTTATACCTGTATTTTTCTTTACAAGTATATTCAGCATATCTCCTTTTAAAGCGCCATTGAAGTCTAAAATGCCCATCTAGACACTTACTATACTTAGCAACAACTCCTGTGAAAATGAATGTGCTTACACATTAAAACCTTTACAACATGATCATTATATAAAGGGGTTTCCAGCGTTCAAAATATGTAAAAAGATTAAACTATTTATAATAAAACAAATTAGGTTTAGTGTAAAATCAAACAATAAACACAAAGAATAATATAAAACTTCTCTATTTTCTAGCAGGGATATTTTTCTTGCAGTGATTAACCTGAAACTGTCAAGTTCTGTTACCTTGGTCTGTATAAGGCTATAACAGGGCTATCTTTAACTTTAATTTATCTGTAATAGGATACAAAGGTACATATTTCACAAAATGTTAATCATGCTTATGTGTGGGTCTAAGATGAAAATCAACAATAATCTTAATGTTTTTAAGAAAATAGTTATTGTGAATATTGGGGAAAAACAAACATACTGTAAAGGAAAGAAATTCTAAGAGCATTAACTATTTTTAAAACAAAATATTGTGTATATATCATACCATCATACATGTTTACATTTTAATAAATTTTGAGGCTGCTAAGGAGTTGGGAAGTGGTTTGTAAGTTTATCTCTGCTCTTTATAGTTCATCAAATTCTCCAAGTTAAATTCAGTTTTCACTAATCAAATTATCATCATTTATGGAACAGGTTATTCCCTAATTACAGTAGGGTTTTATTATGAAATATATATATTTTTCCTAATAACCTTTAATAGCCAGTTGCCTCTGACAACGAATTCTTATTATATTCTTTGAATTACTTAAATAAAATGTTAACATATTAGAGGGAAAATTAAGTAAAATATAATCTCATCGACAATTTATGAAAGTGCAATTTCTCTCAAGTTTTTTTTTTAAATGTCACTATTTTAATTACTATTTTTGGCTAGCAAATATTTGCTAAAATTTATTTGTATCACAATTCCATTTGAGTTTTAAAAATATGATATAGTATAAACTATTTGTATTGCATTATAAATAAAAATAGCTAATATCATCTATTAAAATGAGCAAATAAACTATGAAAGCAAATTCTACCAAAATAAGAAAAGTAATTTGTAACTTTGGATATCCAACTATCAGTGCCTAAAAAATCTGCTAATTTTTTAAAAGGTTGTAAAGATAACAACAAAAGTTAGATGTGGCCTATGTCTTTAAATTATGCATGAGAGAGGACACAATGCCAAGATCTAGCAACTGAGTATTGAAAAAAGTAAGGGATTTAATGTAATCCAATATTAGCTGAAAAGACTAGAAAGTACATTCTTGTATTACATTTCATTTGTTATGTACTCTGCACTAAAGCAACTTCAATGGAACTTAATAAAATACACATTTTTTAAAGTTAAGGCTACTTTGATTTACCCACATTATCTATCCTTAAATTCTAGACTTCTTGGTAGTATTGACGAAAAAATAGAGTAATACCCATGAAATGGAAAGAAAATTACTTTCAGTCACCCAAAGCTCAATTTACATCTGTCTCTCCCATAAAGTAATCTCATTCTGGATCGCCTATAACTTGGAACCTACAATATAAAGGAGTCTCTCATAAGACATTTACTTTCTTGTGGAAATTAATCTGTTTCCATATGCAGAAGAAATACATACAGATTAGTTCTAGCACAAGGAGAGGGTCAAAATGGCCAGGCGCAAAAGACGTATGTGAAATTCAAGGTATTAGTCAAGAAAGCCTCCAGTGAGAAAAAAGGGCTCGACATCAGAAGAATAGCCCATCACTATAGAAAGTTAAATATTCGGAGCTCCAAATTCACATAGGGGGAAATAGCATTGCTCTATCCTCATATATGACACAGGAGAGAATGTTACAGCTTGAGTCTTGTCATGCTTACAATTCAAAGATGAATAAACAAACAACACATACTGAAATCAAAGTTAAATGAAGCAAGTATGACACCTTAAGAATAAGAATTAAACTGAATGTGCATGTCATCATACTTCTGAAACTGACTTTGGTCAGAGAGGAAAACTTATAAGGAAGAACTCAAGAGGATGAAAGGTAGCATGGAATCTAAAACACAAGAGACAGAAAGTGTAATTAGGAAAAAGATAGAGATGTAATTCTGACAAGTAAAAAAAAAAAAAAACTCTTGCTGAAATAAATTAGAATATTTGATAAAAATGTAAATAAAACTTTTAAAAATCCTCTCACAGAAGCCTATAGGAATATACCTGCCATTGTGGATCTTAGCCTTAAAAAAAAAAGTTATCTATTATATTTACATTAAAATAAAACAGGCAGGGTGTGGTGGCTTGCGCCTGTAATCCCAGCACTTTGGGAGGCAGAGGCTGGCAGATCACGTGAGGTCAGGAGTTTGAGACCAGCCTGGCAACGTGGTGAAATCCAGTCTCTTCTAAAAATACAAAAAAATTAGCCAGACCTGGTAGTGGGCACTGGTAATCCCAGCTACACAGGAGGCTGAGGCAGGAGAATCACTTGAACCTGGGAGGCAGAGGTTGCAGTGAGCTGACATCATGCCATTGCACTCCAGCCTGGGCAACAAGAGCGAAACTCCATCTCAAAAAAATACATAAAATAAAATAAAACAAAGCAAAGTTAAGATATGTCATGGTATAAATATATGATCATAATTTTTAAATAATTTTCTAATAATTATAGATTTACAGAAAATATGCAAATGCACTACAAAGAGTTCTTGTATACTCTTCACCTAGCTTTTCCTAACAATAGGATCTTACCTAATAAAGGCACATTCATGAAAACTGAGAAATTAAAATTGATACAGTACTCTTAGGTAAATTATAGCTTATACTTTAATTTCTCCAGCTTTTCACAAATTTCCCTTTTCTGTTTTGAGATCCTATTCACAATGCCATGTCTTATTCAGTCGTTATATCTTCTTGATCTCCTATGATCTATGACAGTCTTTCCTATTAATAGTTTCTTATGACATGAACAGTTTTGAAGAAAAATGCTTAGGTATTTTGTAGAATGTCCTTTAATTTGAGTTTGATGTTTCCTCGTGGTTATACCAAATGTTTGGTCTTCCGGGAAGAATATCACAATAGTGGATGGAGTGCCCTTCTCCACATATCATATTGGGAGTAAGTGATGGCAACATAATTTTTCACTAGTAGTGTTAAATTACATCAAGTCAATAAGCTTTTAATAGAAAAATATCTAGGCTAATATTTAACAAATAACGTAATCTCTATGCATGAAGTAACTCAAGTTTAAATAAATAAATATACATATATAAAACGTGATTTGACTACCTTTTTTTTTTTAGAGACAGAATTTTGCTCTTGTCACCCAGGCTGGAATGCAGTGGTGCGATCTCAGCTCACTACAACCTCCGCCTCCCAGGTTTAAGCAATTCTCTTGCCTCAGCCTCCTGAGTAGTTGGGATTACAGGTGCCTGCTGCCATACCCGGCTAGTTTAGTTTTGTATTTTTAATAGAGACGAGGTTTCACCATGTTGGCCAGGCTGGTCACAAACACCTGACCTCAGGTGACCTCCCACCTCGGCCTCCCAAAGTGCTGGAATTATAGACGTGAGCCACCGCGTCCAGACTACCTGTTTTTTAACTTTATACCAAAGATAAGACATCGTTGAAAGGCAAATTATAAGCTGTGAATATATGTAACAAAAATGATAGAAGAAACATTAATGTTTTTAACATCTAAAGAACACACATGAGGACACACTAGAGGCCAGGAGTTTGAGGCTGCAGTGAGCTGTGATTGCACCACTACACTCCGCTCCAGCCTGGGAGACAGAGCAAGACTTTCTCTCTAAAAAGTAGAAAACATAAAAATAAAAAAAAAAAAAAACACAAATAATTTAAAAATTAAAAGTTCATTATTCTAACAAAGGTGGGATTCTGGAAAGATAACAACAGCAAAACCCAGCAAAACGCAGGAATAGAAAGTCAACTGAAAAAATTTTAATTGTCCCTATATGTTTTTTAGAGTTTCATGCCACTAAATGCAGAAATATTCAATTCAACCAGCATTTAACATATTTCAAAAATAAAATGGAAATCATATGCCACTGTGATTGTCGAGATAAAAACTGATTGTCCAGAGAACATTGAGAGAGTATGTTGAGGCATTTTATTTTTTTTTTTAATTATACTTTAAGTTCTAGGGTACATGTGCACACGTGCAGGTTTGTTACATATGTATACATGTGCCATGTTGGTGTGCTGCACCCATTAACCCGTCATTTACATTAGGTGTATCTCCTAATGCTATCCCTCCCCCAGCCCCCACCCCACAACAGGCCCCGGTGTGTGATGTTTCTAAGTGTTCTCATTGTTCAATTCCCACCTATGAGTGAGAACATGCAGTGTTTGGTTTTTTGTCCTTGCGATAGTTTGCTGAGAATGATGGTTTCCAGCTTCATCCATGTCCCTACAAAGGACATGAACTCATCATTTGTTGGGGCATTTTTTTCTAAGGGTAATTCAATGTTTCTTTATAAACTTACATATCTTTTTTACTTTTTTATTATATTTTACATTTTTTCTTACAGTTCATTTTGGCAAAAAAAAAATTTGCATCAAGAATGACCCTGATGATGATGTTTAAATAGCCACAAGTTGAAAAAACCTTAAATCCTTAATAGGGATCATAAAAATTTTTTATAAAACTTATGGAATAAAATTAAAATGAAATACTATTTTTTTGCTAAAATAACCTAATGAAAGTATAGTTATTGGCTTGGAAAACAAATCAAATTTGCTAAGTGAAAATAAAATTCAAATTATTTAATAATATTAGTATTCTGTGTTATTATTAGAATAAAGAAAAAACTTATGTGTGTAAACAATGTATAAATAATGAAGAGAAAAATAAGCTAAAATCAGACGAAATGAGATGTCATGCTTCCCGTTACAATGGCGTATTTAAAAAGGTAATATTCGTTATCTTTGAGGAAACACTGAGATTTTCTGATAGGTTGTTTTTGTGTGAGTAAACATTGTTACATTAGATTTTTAGAAATCAATTTTACTGTATAGCAAGGGCTTTCTATTTATTTCACATCTAGGAATCTCCTTTGAAATAGACCTCATTGACCATGTTCATGACAGACCAATTATATTAAAGAAAAATGGAAAATTTCCCAATATACTGTCTGACAATAACAAAAAGATGAAAGGCAATTAGTATATCCTCATTTGGAATATGTTTCAGTCTCTTTCAGGCTGAAAGAAATAAAGTAAATATTGAGTTACTTTAAACAAATATCACTGAGCCTGAAGATTCATGAGGAAAAGAGGAAAATGGGCACATGAACAGAGGTTTAGCCTGAATTCAAAAGGATCTGAAATGATCAAAGAGGCTGACCTAATCTATAAAACTGACCAAAGGTGGGAATTTTACAGGGACCATATGAGGCCATTCTGTGGCCTTCTGGAGAGAGGAGAGGGTTAGGGCAGCAGGAATTGCAAGGTTTCCTCACAGAAAGCAGAGCTGGTCTGTTTAGAAGGAAATTGTATGCATCAATTAATATAAATTTGAAAAAGTGTCACTATTAGGGAACTATGCCTGCAATATGATATAAAGCAGAGAAAGAAAAGTCTAATTCTATTGAGGTTGTTGACAATAGTAATAAAAAATAATAGAAAACATTTATTGAGCATTAATTCCATGCCAAGAAATGCGCCAAGCACTTTTATGTAAATTATTTTGCTTGTTCTCACATCAACCTTATGAGGCTTATGAAAAGATTATGCCCATTTTACAGATGATGAGACTAAGGCTTATAGATAACTTGTCCAAATTCACACATTAATAAATGGAGGACCCAGGTTTTTAACCCAAGCAATCTGACTCCAGAATCTTCCCCCTTCACCTAAAAAGGACCAAAGAAAATACTTCCACCAAGATGACAGCAAGCATTCTGGGTGGTGGGTTGATATATTGACTAATTATAATTTTATTTTAATTTTCTATTTTTTCAGTTTCTAAAATAATGGAAATTATATTTATTACAAAAAGAAAGCTATTTTGATTTTTTTAAAAAAGAGAATTGTCAAACTTCTGGGAAAATATAATATTTATACAAACCAATGTCTAGATGGCATATTTTATGAAAATTGAAAGTGACCTCATCTAAGTTTTATGGCTTTGGGAAACAAATATGCAGCACCACCCATAAGCCTATATCTTTTAAAGTGTTGGGAAATAATAAATATGAATGATTACTGGAAAAAATGGACTTGTTAGGCTCAAAATGAATACTATTTGGGTTAGTTTATTTTTAGAATAATAAAATGCAATACTTTAAAATTTTTTGTAACTCAGTGTGCTTGTATAACTGTGCTTTCACATAATTAGAAAAATTATGTATTGCCTGTTATTTTTATGATGTTTCTGAAACTTTCATTCTTGTATTTAGGTAATTTTTAAAACTCTTCATATACCATTGAATTTCAGGAAATTATGTAAAGAAAATAGAGCTAATAGTAACATAATAGATTAACATTAAGAATAATTACTTTAACATAAAACAGTATGTAAATATGTTTGATATTTTTATAATAATAATGATATTAATAAATTATGTTATTACATAATATATTTTAGGTACTGTGTTAATTATTTTCCATATAATGACTCAATCTTTATTAACACTGTTTTAATATATGTTAATAAGCCCATTTTGTTGATGCAAAAATTGAACCGCAAGTATTTTAAGCCATTTGCTAAAGTTAACAAATTCACTGCTGTAGTCTGAATGTGTCCCCAAAATTTCATGTATTTAAACTTAATCTCCAATGCAATAGTTTCAAGAGAGGAACTTTAAGAGGTGATTGGGTCGTTAGAACTTCTCTCCTTTGAATGAGTTAAGTCCTTCATGATAAAGGCTTCATAGAGCATTTGGCCTTTTACCTTTTCTGTCTCTTCTACCACATGAAGATACAATGTTTGTTTGCCCCTCTGGAGGACACATGAACAAAATGCTATCTTGGAAGCAGAGAGACAGGGCCCTCACCAGACACTGAACCTGTCGGTGGTTGGACATTGGACTTCCCAGCCTCCAGAACTGTGAGAAACAAATTTCTGTTGTTTATAAATTACCCATCCTGTTGTACTTTTTTACACTGGCACAAAGGGGCTAAGACAGCCACTAGCTTGTGACAAGAGTCCAATCTCAATTTCTGTGCTTTTAGTTATCATATCGAAAAAGGAAAAAAAAAGACCCAAACCTTTATCTGAGGAATGAAAACCTCTTTAAATTATCAGAGAGGTGTTACGAATGTGAAAGCAGTCATATCTCACTCCCCCTTGAGATAAACAATTACCTCTTGAAGCCTCTTCCTATGTGGGATCTAGACTAATGCTAAGTAGCCATAAAATGCCGTACGCCTATGGTTCAGCAATGTATAGACAATCACTAATCAATATTACTTCTGTAAACCAGTGAGAATTCCTGATTAGCAATTTTGTAATCACCCCCTCTCCTGATTCATTCTTTGTTCTTTACAAACTTGAGCCTCTCCTTTGTACTCCAGAGCCCTGCTCAAGGCAACCTGGACTCCAGGCTGCTGAAAGTGTCCCAGGTTGTTGTCCTTAATCTTGGCCCAAATAAAGTCTCTATATTAATTTTGCCTCAGCTTTTGCCTTTAAGTTGACATTTTAACACTGTTTTTCATATGGTATGATTTTTTAAATTTAGCAACAATTAAATAAGCAATTAAATGTAGCTATATTTTTTCTTTTAACTTATAAAGTCATTCCATCATCTCAGAATAGTTAAAACGTCTTTAGTGATATATATTTCACATTAACTAAGTAAATATGTTGATGAGCATTAAAGAACATTAAAGTATAGTTTTATAATTTAACATGCTGTTTAAAAAATGATGATCCATCTGTTATTTTTAAATGTTAATAACAGTCTAATTTACTTTCATTTCAAAACAGTAATTTCATACAAATACTTAACAAGTCACATGCATCCAATCTTAATTTTAGAGCATTAAACTTTAAAGTCTCTCAGTGCCATTTAATTTACAGGTTTCTTTCTGCCACCAATATTCATATCTGGAAAACATGGACAGGATTTCTTAATTTTCTTGAGTAAATATTCTGTCTAACACAGTTCCAGTTAACATGTACATTTGCCACATATAGAAAAGAACTAACACATACTGAATTCTGATTTCCGATAACAGAACATAGCATGTATGCTGTCTTACAGTAACAATTAAATGTTTTTCACAATGCGTATTTTTACAGTGGGACAATGAAGCAATACAAACAAAACCAGCAGACACGTTATCTTTAGTAGAAAATGTTATGCAAATTTAGTGAGAATATTACATAAACCAAGTAATAGTGAAACATATACTCCTCAGATTTCCCTAGTTCCTTATTGGAACTGTTGGAACTGTCAGATGTGGATAGACTCAGCCACCCTCAGTGAGGATCCACTAGAGAGGAAAAGCTCTCCTCCTCTGATTGTGAGAGTTTTGTATCCTCCCCACTTCGTGCCTGATTATTCTGAAGACTCTGGCTTTGTACCTACCTCCTTCTCAGACAAAAGTAACAGTGGTGATACAAACAAATAACTCAGCGCATTTCTGAGAATCCACTTTAGAACCTGGTGACATAAAAGCCTCTTTCCTCCGCAGGCCCAGCCTTTAGTTCTGTCTATCATTCCTTAGTGTCAACGATGAAAATTATTGTGGACTAACCAAGTTGAATGACAGTGAACAGTGTGAATGACTGGCTGTTCCCCAAATCATATGAACATGTCCTCACACTTAACTTGCTTAACTTGCAAAGCTTTGAATGGTGTTCAAGGTGAGTCTGGAACAAAGTGAACTGCTGTAATTCAATTTTAAGTTCAGTAAAATACAGGGAAATGATCTATGAAATGAAACTTCTCTCTCCTATCTGCTTTAATAAAAAATGTTAGAAATAAGTTATTCATGGTTTCTGTGTTAAAAACATTGTATTATATTTACACCATTGAATATATGTTGTTCCTTAACTGCTTACACCATAAATTTGTAAGATATATATGAAACTCTTCAAATTAAAATCTCAAATTTATTTTAACCCTCACCAACAACTAGTAATTTTCCATTTCCTTTCTTAAATTTCCAAACTGCTTATCATTGCATTGGCACCAGGGCCAAGATATATGTAAATAACTCTCCAGGGGAAATCCTTAGATTCAGAAGCATTGTTGATTATGATACATATAACCTTAAAATTTATTTGTCTTGCAAAGTGCCTTTGTCCTTTTTCAGTAAATTAATAGCAGGGTGCAGCTGGATGCTTCTGGAGGCGTTGACTTTTGATATCATCAAAGTGTGAAGCTAATAAATGAGCAGACCTCTTGATGCATAATGGGCTTGTTTAAAGATACGCATAATGGCAAATATTTGAATACATCCAGGAGCTATTTTGGGGAAGTTAGCAACAGGTCAGAGAGAAGTAGGACTTTCTAAAATCAAATAAATGACAAATTATAGATTAGAGATTAGTCCATACAGTGTGATCTATGTATACAGAGCATAGGAGAGTAGTTGAAGCATAGTCCTTGGAGCCAGATTGATTGGATTCAGGTCAAGCTCCATCATTTATTCAATAATTTTCTTAACCTTGCTGTTCCTCAATCTCTTCATTTGTAATGTATGTATAATAATAGTATCTAACTATTGAAATTCTCATGAGAAAAATTTAATGTTAAAAATGCACAATTTCTTCTCACTGGTATAGTCAACTTGAAAAAATGCAGTTTCTATATATGCCTGACACATTGTTAGCACTATATAAATGTCAGATACAATGATGATGATGAAGACGAAGAGGATGGTGAATGTTCTCCAAACAAGTAAAACATCAAGTGAATATGAACACCAGATATTTGCAAAATGTTTCGGTTTTTTTTTGTGCCTACTAAAATGTGGGTTTTACATAGTTTATATTCAGAATTTTAAACCAGATGATCAAAACTTCATGGACTATTGAAAACATTTTTGGGAGATGAGATTGACTCGCACATTGCCAAGTTAATTTTCCAAACAGAAAGATAAAAATCTTTGCAGTGTGAATTTGGCTAAAATTTGTTAATTTACTTGTTCATACTTCATTCTTTCAATGGGTTTTTTATTGTTTTGTGTTGGAGATAAAACTCAGAAATTTACTGAATATCAGAGTCCTTCTTACCTTTCTATCATCCTTCATCATCCCTTTTTGTTTTCAAGATTTGCATCCAAAGACAGTAGCTAAAATTCTGAAATAAGCTGATAACAAAGAGTGGTATTTGTTCATAAACTTCACAGCTTTCCTTTTGGAGGAAATATATCATATGCCTCCATTAACCCAGGTTTATATGTACCCATTAGATTTTTGATAATCACGTCTAACTTGCTTGTTCCTATCTCTACTTATTTAGCTATTTTAATTTTTCCCATCTATCTTTTGTTTCTTCCCTGCCTCTGTTTAGATTAATTAAGCCTTCCTGCCATGGTTTGGACTCCATTTTATTTCCACTATTGGTGTGTCAGCAATTGTAATTTGTTATTATTGTAATTATTATTTATTATTATTGTAATTATGGCGGTTATTATAGTTGTGCTGTGGTTGCTCTAGAATTTACAATATATTTCTTTAATCATAATCTGTCTTCTTATAAAGCATTTCACATATAATATAAGATCATTGAATTCAGTGATGTGGAGGGCATGTGTGCATCATCTGGAAAAAAAGGTGCATGTCTCTTAGCAACTCCAAATTAGTGATATCCTTTTGTAGCATCAGCTATCTTCCCAGCCTCTAGAACTATGACAAGTCATTTTCTGTTGTTTGCAAGCCACTCAGTCTAAAGCATTGTGTTATAGCAACCTGAATGGACTGAGACAACTATTAAAATGCTTAGCATTTGGAAATTTCTTGCATCTGTAGCCTTGTTTTCTCAGCCTTCCCACTAACCCCTCTTACTCTACAATTTAGCCAAGCGTACGGTCAACTTTGACATCTATAAACTAAGGTATGAATATTCAGAACATGCATAAACAAAGTTGTGTAGAAGCCAGAGAATACTTAAGAAATGCTAAAACTTTAGGGTCATTGGGTCAGCAATTGACATCCTTTTAAGCTGGACTTTGTGGCTCTTTTTCTTCTGTGCTTGAGATGTATCCACTCAGGTTGTTTTGAAATTATTCCTGGTTTTTATGGCAAAGGACCCTTTTAGGAAAGTTGTTCTCTGTGGTATTCTCTTGATCTTCTTGGACAGGCACAATTAACCTTCCATTTTCGCTTTGAAAAGCTAATTTTCTTTGTTCTCTGTGTTTATTCATATATATCTTAAAAGCCAAGAGGTAACTTGAATTATTCTGCAACTCCCAAGACCACTGAGAACTTGCAAGTTCTATCCCAGTCTGTGAATACTTCAGTTTATTCAGTCATTCAAGAAGTATCGATTATGTTCTATGTACCACAAATTGCTATGGGTGCTGGAGACACAAAAATAGAAGAGTCAAAGTTCTTAATGTCTTGGAGTGTGCTTTAGAATGGGGAGATATTGATGAATAAATAATATAGTTTCAGATAATGGGAAGTAAATGAGGAAAAATAGTATTGATAAAAATTTGTGTAAGATAGACCATGAGGATTCTTGGAAGAATTTACATGTAATAGAAAACCATCCACAATACATATATACATTCAACAAATATCTTAACATGAATCTCCCTTTTTCTTTATTCCCTCTCAATTCAATCTCACCATATGACTCTTTGATATAACCTTTAAATTACCTTTCTTTCATTTTTTATCTTAGACTATCCTTGATTAATAATGTAAGAGATCCTAATGTAAGAGATTTATTTTACATTAGGAATTTTCGAGAAGAGGAGATGAAGAGAAGTTGGTTAAAGGGTACAAATACACAGTCAGATAGAAATAATAAATTTAATGTTTGATAGTAGAGTAGAGTGACTATAGTTCACAAAAATGCATTATATGCAGGTATAATACAATTTGTTAACTATAGTCACCCTATTCTACTATCAAACATTAAATTTATGAACACTCTAAATACCCTGACTTGATCAGTGTGCATTATACACATGTGCATTATATACATGTGACAAAATTTCACATGTACTCTATTAATTTTTACTAATAAAAACAAATACAAAAACGACCCATTTTCTATTGACTACTCATTTCTGAAGAACTTCTCTGAATCCCTTTTAATTTACTAAGTTTTGACATGAAGGAAAACTCACAAAAACTCTAAATAGTTTTTACTCCATGTCAGTTAAAGATAATTCTGGGGAATAGAATATTATGCATATTTAATCAATGAGTGTTATGATAAACTACTGAATTTGCTCTGGAACCATCTGTAAGCACAATACTTTGTATTTTTTGACCAACCTACCTTATAAAGTTCCAGAAAGAAAAATAAAAAAGAAATGTATACTGTACTATCTCTATGTCATAAGATACAATATCTAATATGTATTAATACACGGTCTATGTAGCCTGTTGAATCATCTTGTAAAAATTACAGAAAATAAGTATTTGAAAAAAAAAGTGGAAAATGGAAATCCCAAATGCAAGTAGAAAATTAACATTTATATTACTCTTCGTATTGTCTTCCAAAAAACATTCATAGGACTTGCTCTATTTTAATTATTTTCCTTAGTGTTTTGCTACTCTCCACCTGGGTACAAAGACATTCTATTCAGTTTATCTTTCACAAAACACAAAAGGATCCCAGGTGCTAAATAATTCACATGAAGCCTGGAGCTCACAGCTGTATTACCAGAAACTTTGCCAATAACAGATTTGGCCATTTTTTGAAATCAGAAATCACTCTTATGTTGTTTTTGCTAGCAGACAGAATTCACAACGTTTAGAGAAGCTCCTATAACATGAACTAGCATGTTGAAAGATAGAGTTTATTGTTGGGTGACCCCATTCTATTGCAGCAAAATTGATGCTAAGCAAAGATGGAAAATAGGAGAGTTTGAACCTTCAATTATATTTAAGGGCCTTAGTGGGCCCTCTCAAACCACAGTCTTCTACAAGGGTGTTTTCCGGGCATCCTGGTGATGCAGGATTGCTCCTTAGCTCAGCTAGGTCTGGGCTGTTTTCTCACGACCAGGAAGAAGTAGGCACATGGACACTTGAAGAGTGAGCCAGGTAGGAAGTTTTATTGAGTGATGAAGCAGCTGTTAGCAGAAAGGAGACATGGGTGTGGTATCCCTACCCGAAGGTTGGAGAGTTCCCAATATGGCTAACCCCCCCGTGTTTCATGGGCTCAGAATACAGAGTGTGTGATGATTGGTTTGTGAGTATGCAAAAAAGTTTAAAGTGAAGACATCACTCTAAGGTGTAGAAGATAGTGTAGAAAACCAATTAGGCTAGGGTAGGTATATATAAACTAGGTAAAGGATGGGGATCAATCAGAGGAAAGTGTGCCAAATGGGAAGGCAGGTTCTCAATCTTGTTCGAGGTTTTACCCAGGACTGTTTCCAGCTTGAAGGTTGGATTTCACCAGGAACCGCCCCTATCTGCCTAGGCCTTTGCCTCCTGCCTCTATCACTGGTTGGTAGATTGCTACCTCCTTGATTAACAGTGGTAAATATTTCATAAAGGTCAAGGCAGAGAATGACTAAATTTGTTCACTGAATTTAGTAATAAGGACGTCACTGGTGATGTTTTTACAAAGCATATTTTAGAAGTGAGAGAAGAATAATTAAACAGAAAAAATATAGATGAAAAAATCTATAGCTAAGTATAATAAGGAAGCAAGACTCTAATTATAGTAATTTTTTAAAAAAAACAAAGAATAGGTTTTAGTGGTTGGATTTGTAAGCAAGCTAGAAGCAATGAGGGCTGCTACACCTAGATAATAAATGAGATACTTTTGGTGGTTGAAATAGTAAAAATATTATTTCAAAACATATACTGTAGCTATTGTTGGCTGCAGTAGCAATTTCCAAAATAATTGGAAGAAAAAATAGTGCAAAAAGGTAAAAACTAAATGCAGTCAGCTAATGTCTGAAATTATATCCCTTAAAAATAAATGCTTATGTAACTATGTATTAAAACTTGTTATAGGACAGAAATCAAGTTAATAATGCCAGTATATCAGAGATAATTTACAAATAAGAATTGCTAAATTTGAACATATCATAGTCTACATCGTTTTTCTCTAAAATAAAATTTAACAGCGAGATTGGTGAATAGGTATATTGTTTTTATTTATGTCTGAGGCTCAGTGAAAACCAACAAGTCTAGTTCTGAGAAAATCAAGAGAGAAAAGTGTGACATGAAAGTAAATGGGACCTGGTGTCTTTAATAGAGTTACTGCTGCCATACCTCTGGGGAAATACTCTGGAAACAAGAGTAAACTGATAAATCTAATAAGTTACTTGCTGGAATCCTGCTTTCATACCTGAAATATACAAACTTCATTGAAAAACCCAGTAGTCATCATAACAGAACAAAGTAGTTAATTTCACAAAAATACAGCCCTTCAGATCAATGAGAACTAATGCAATTCACACATTTAATAAGATTACTTTTAAAATTATATGGTTTCATAAGCTGAAGATTCTGAAAATCACAGGATATGGGATAAAGTGTTTAATAAGTATAATTTGGAGATTAATTTTCAGCTAAAGAGAGGTTAAATATATTGGAACAAATCCTTTATAAAATGTTAAATATGTTATAAATTAAATGTCAAAGACTGTGTTTAAATAAGCAGATGAATACACTTATAAATGTAAAATTTGAGTAGCATCCATTTTTTCCCATGTCTTCCATGATGCCATGAGTATATTATTTAATTTTTCTTTTCCCCAATGCAACTATTTGGAAAATTGCTCTCATTACATCAAATATTCTTCTCAAATAGATAGATTAGTTTTGTTTCTAGATTTTCTGTTGAATAATTTGAACAATAATATATCTATAAGACAGATGCAAATATAGTGTCTTAGAAATCAAAGCAATTATTGAGTAACGATTATGATTTACAGAAAAATTCAGTTTCCATGGGACTATAAATAATTTGTTCCTGTCTTTAAGGAGCTCAATATCTATTTGTCTTAGATTATTAGGCTATCGATCACCTATGTGCCTCATCTTTTTTAATCATCTTGTAGTCAACGTTAACAATTGAATAAACTTTTTTTTTAAAGCACAATGCTTTTGGCCTGAGAGATGAATTGTCACTAAATATTGAATGATGATCTCATCATGCAAATTTCATTGACATATAAAAAATAATTACAAAATAGAATCCTATTTAAATATTTGCCAGTTAAACTAGTGTTATTCATTTACATTATACTATTAATTTAAATTAATAAATAATACTATGCTTATAAAACGAGACATCATGCTAGAAAATATTATAAGGCTTACTGTGATCTTAAAGAAAAGATAAGGTTTTAAGTCAGTTTATACACTAGCATCTGGTGTTGCAGTTAAATGCCAGAAATGAAGACTAAGTTGCCATGTAAGGATAGAGGATATAACACTTTCATACAAATGTCATGAAATAGCAGACATTTTAAAACTCAAAATTCATTATTTAATTAAAAATAAAGACAACATTAGTTTTTTTGAGAGTTTGAAGAGGTTATAAATAGTAAAAAACAAACAAAATGAAAGAAGAGAAAGAAGGAGAGGAAGAAGAAGAACTAGTAGTGGTGGTGGTCCAGGCAAAGAGGAAACAAAATAAACAAAACAATGAAAAATAAAGGAAAGCACATTCCCACATAAAGAGGCGAAGAATGTTGCGTAGGTCACATTTATCTAGAAGAGCTCGAAGCTGATGACAAAGGTTATACAAAGTAGGTGGGGCCGCTCTACAGACTCAGGGTATTTAACCATGGGTCTGCAACAGGTCAGCATGTCCGCTCTTGTAACACTGCTTGTAACGCTCAATGTGCTCGCCTGTCAAAGCGGGGTAGCTCGTTTCCAGGCTGCGCAGTGGGGCAGCTCTCCTAAAACCCATCGACCCCTTTGGGACAGGAGAGCCCAACACCTTCAATACACGCATCCAGCACAATGCTTATTTTCTGCCCTTCCCCTACAAATACCAAGGGTCTGGTATTCTTACATTTAAGAGATACATAAATGAACAGAAAATTAACCACCACTAAATAGAGGAAATGGAGCTTGTCTTAGTCTATTCAGGTTGTAATAATAAAATACCATAAATTGGGTGCTTTATAAACAAGTTTATTACACAGTTCTGGAGGCTGGAAAATCCAAGATCAAGGCATTAGCAGATTTGGTGTCTATTGAGGGTCCACAACCTGCTTCGCAGATGGCTGTCTTTTCAATGTGTCATTACGTGGCAGAAGGAAAGAAGGGGCTCCCTGAAGTCTCTTTTATAAGGGCACTAATTGCATTAATTAGGGCTCCACGCTTATAACCTAACCACCTACCAAAGACCCCACCTCCAAATATCATCACTGGCGATAAGGTTTCAACAGATAAATTTTGGGGGATACAAACATGCTTGGCCTAAATAAACAAAAAATAGAAGAGCAATCATAATATTGTAAATGAATAAGTTAATTGTTTTATTGTTAAAACAAAGGCTTTTGGGGGTGAGTATCTGCTCTATGAAAAATCTTCTAGAGATCTTGGTATTAAAAATGTAAAAATTTTATCATTGCCATTAGGAAAACTGGTAGATAGGCTGAATAACAAAACAGTTGCAACTTAGGAGAAAAACAGTGAGCCCAAAGACTGAACATAAGGATTTTTTAAGTTTTATGGTAGCATAAAGAGATATAAAGTGTATGAGAAAACCAGTAGAGATCTAGAAGTTCTTTCTGGTATCTAAGAAGAATTTCAGAATTTAATTAAGACAGAATGAAGGGAGGAGTATTTTTAAGAGGTAACTAACATAATTTTTATGATCGTCCATACAGATTTGGCAATTTCTACTTCCTTTAATTGCAGTACCTGGTGTGTCATAAGCAATTTTTACAAGTACAGTCATTTTTTGTTTTCCCATTTCAGTGTTGTAGCATGAAATGATTTTCAGTGATGAGCAACCTAATTTAAGTGAACATCCATTTTTAATGCTACCACATAAGGAAATAGAGCTATGATTATGATTAACAACTATGTTCTATGCAAGGGTAACCCCAGACATATGCAGCTCCGTCATAACTCACTCCTTTGTCTGGAAGTATGTCTTTTATACAATGAATGTGAAGTCCTTCAATTTTCATAAAAGATACAGTTGACATTATTTATAATATAGAAGTAGTGATGGCATGATAATACAGAAAATTAATAATAATTATTCAACGGAAGTTCCCAGCCATAATATCACTTCTGAAAAATAATGCATGCTAGTATTTTTTGAGAATCTGTAATGGCTTGACACTTAGCTAAGCAGTTAACTGCTTTCATCATATTATTTTATGTAAGTCTGTTTTAGTCTGTGCAGAACGCTATAGCAAAATACCATACACTAGGTAACTTATAAACAGAAATTTCTTTCTCACAGTTTTGGAGGCTGAGAAATCAAAGATCAAGTCATCAGCAGATTCAGTGTCTGCTGAGGGGCTTTTTCCTTGTAGACTAATGGTTGCGTCTAGCTGTGTCTTCACAACCCATGATACAAGGGGCAGGGTAGCTCTCCGGGACTTCTTTTATAAGAGCACCAATTCCATTCATACCATTTATGCCCCCATGACCTAATCACTTCTCAAAGGCCTCACATCCTGATACTATATGACCCCATACCTGATACCTTGGGAATCAGAATGTCAGCATATACATTTGGGAGGACACAAACATTTTGATCATAACAAGGTCCTAGAAAAGAAAATTGAAATCACAGAAGTAGATTTGATTATTTAACATTTGCATCTAGATTGCCAACATTTTATTTCTATTAATGAGTTTGCAAATTCAACCCTGTTAGAGCGATACCAGCTTCAGACCATCCCACAGAATCAGGAGAGATTTTCTTGAAACTGCTTCACAGCCCAGCTTCTCTCTCTTCACTTCCGCTTCCATCTCTCCCCAGCAAGTGTTGATCCCAAGAGCATTTCCTAATAAACTCCTTGGAAATTAATCTGTCTCTGTCTCAGAGTTTGTGTCTCAGGAGATCAAACCTATAAAAGTGTTCCAGAATGAACAAGGAGGTTATCAAAAAAAAATACAGGCATAAAAACAATCTGTTAATCTTTGATTGGCGTATAACTCTGAGACAATTCTCCCCATGTAAATAATGCCTAGGTGTGCTACATTTAGTATATGAAGAAAAGGTAAAGACTCAGTTATAGGGCAGAACACAGGTGGCTCACGAAAGTCATCTCAGCACTGTAGGAGGCCAAGACGGGAGGATTGCTTGAGCCCGGGAGTTCCAGACCAGCCTTGGCAACACAGTGAGACCCAGTTTCATAAACAAACAAACAAAAAAAGCAAAAAAGCACCCAGTTGTAGAGCAATATGATTTTTCCAACAGAGGGAGACAAAATTTAAACATAAGCTTTAATACCAAATGTCAGAGAACCATTTTAATTTTCACATTGGTCCAATTATATATGTTGACACATTTTATTAAGTATTTTACTCACACAATTTCACTTACAAATATAAAAATATATAGAAAATAAAATATAGATACTATTATAAGCTTGAGGTTAATGATATACTAAAACATTAAAGGATGTTTATAATATCATTCTGATTGCTCACAAATATTTGGAGAGAATTTAATAAACAGTACATTTGTGGCTACATTAACACAACTACATTACATTAATATGACATAGAGATGAAAACGACCAAGTTAGCTTATGGAAAATGAATTCAAGAATGTGGATGAGTTTCTTAGTTCAGAATTGCTCAGGAATTGGGACATTATGTAGGTAAGATTCTGGAAAGGGCAAAAGGATGAAAAACAAGAGAAGGCCTAACCCATCTGCTACTTGATTATCTTAATGAAGCAAATCTAGAGATTTATTAAAGTAACTCTTGCTTATTGAGCACCATATTTAAAACAAACTATTTAGCTTTAAGGCAACAGTTATCATCATAATTTGCTTAAATTTTTAGGAGTTTACTCATAAAGCTTTGCTTTCAGTGAGATAAGGCCGGATGGGCAAAGAGTAAACTACCCTGCAAATATATGCGGATAATTTAATTGGTTTCATATTACAGGAATCTAGAGGGCCAATTACTTTTTCAGTAATAAAAAAATAAAAGGGCGAGATGCAGTGGCTCATGCCCGTAATCCCAGCACTTTGGGAGTCCAAGGCAGAGAGATCGCTTGAGCTCAGCAGTTTGAAACCAACTTGGGCAAAATGATAAAACACCCATCTCTAAAGAAATACATAAATTAGACAGAAATGGTGTCATGCGCATGTAGTACTTGTATTCCCAGCTACCTCAGGAGGCTGAGGTGTGAAGATCATTTGAGCCTGGAGAGGTCAAGGCAGATTGAGCCATGATGGTGCCAGTGTACTCCAGCCTGGGTGACAGAGACTGTCTCAAAAAAAAAAAAAAAAAGACAAAAGCGTTCTTACTGAAATGCTTAGCCATTGCTTGCTTATACTTCTCAGATATCTTATACAATTAAATTACAACATTTCTCTTAAGTGTTTTTTTAAAAGAGCCCAGGCTTGTTGAGTGAGCATACAATCTTAGATGAAGTCATTTTCTTTTTGACATAAAATATTCTGCTCCTCTTTAGCTTAATAGTAAACAGGTGTTAATCCGAAACTTTGTCCATGAACTTTTTCATTTATGAATTTATTGTATCTAAATGCCAAGATGATTTTTTTTTGAGTTACATAATCTTACTTCATGGAATTGTAGCAAAATCGCAGCTTGGAGATATAGTATGTGGTTTCATAATGTTCGTTCTCCTACTTCCAGGCATAAGATAAGCTGGCAGTTACTTTCCCCTTGAAGATAGGCAGAGTGAAATGACTAAAACTGACCAACAAAATGATGGACAGAATCTATAAGGGCCAGTGCATATTTTAATTTACTGTTTATCTCCTGCCCTTGTAGCAAACAACATGAAGTAGACACCCAGCTGTTTCAGAGTAGCCAGTGCATACTTAATTTTGAAAGAAATATTTTATTGCATTAAAATATCTTCATAAAACCTTCAAATATTTATTGGCTATGGGGTGTTAAAGGCTATATGGTGAGTTTTTCTTGTTTTACAAATGCAAAAACTGAAGCATGGCTAATTTTTTGATGCACCCAAGGGCACAGGAAAATCTATATTTTTCATGTTAAAAGCAAAATTCTGCATTTATTTGTTTGCTTCCCTCACCAAAGGGGCTAGATTACGTTACTCCAACACAAATACAGACACACATTACTGGCTTATGCCACCAATGGCTTATTTCTTACAAATGCTGTATCACATTTTATCATAAGCCACCAAGTTTTTGATTTTGCTGTTGTGGTGTTATTGCAACATAACCCAACTTATCCTCTGTTAGGTCAGAAACATTGAAGAATCTGGTATTTTATTCTACCTACAAGACAACAGAGAGTAGGTGCGTGTGCTGATACTGTGTATGCTCTGTGTATGTGTGCCTACACAGAGCACACACTCTTACACAACACACAAAACTTCTGGGTCAGAGAAAAAGCCAGTTTATTTATTTTTATTTTTAATTTTTTTATTATACTCTGAGTTCTGGGATACATTTGCAGAATGTGCAGGTTTGTTACAGACGTATACATGGGCCATGGTGGTTTGCTGCACCCATCAACCTGTCATCTATATTAGGTATTTCTCCTAATGCTATCCCTCCCTTAGCCCCCTAACCCCTGACAGGCCCTGGTGTGTGATGTTCCCCTCCCTGTGCCCATGTGTTCTCATTCTTCAACTCCCACTTATTAGTGGGAACATGCAGTGTTTGATTTTCTGTTCCTGTATTAGTTTGCTGAGAATGATGGTTTCCAGCTTCATCCATGTCCCTGCAAAGGATATGAACTCAATCTTTTTTATGGCTGCATAGTATTCCATGGTGTATATGTGCCACATTTTCTTTATTCAGTCTATCATTGATGGACATTTAGGTTGGTTCCAAGTCTTTGCTACTGTGAACAGTGCTGCAATAAACATACATGTGCATGTATCTTTATAGTAGAATGATTTATAATCCTTTGGGTATGTACCCAGTAATGGGATTGCTGGGTCAAATGGTAGTTCTAGTTCTAGATCCTTGAGGAATTGCCACACTATCTTCCACAATGATTGAACAAATTTACAGTCCCACTAACAGTGTAAAAATGTTCCTGTTTTTCCACATCCTCTCCAGCATCTGTTGTTTCCTGAATTTTTAAGGATAGCCATTCTAACTGGCGTGAGATGGTATCTCATTGTGGTTTTGATTTGCATTTCTCTAACGACCAGTGATGATGAGCTTTTTTTCATGTTTGTTTGCCACATAAATGTCTTCTTTGGAGATGTGTCTGCTCATATCCTTTGCCTACTTTTTGATGGGGTTAAAACTGGAGACATCAAGCTACCTGACTTCAAACTATACTACAAGGCTACAGTAACCAAAACAGCATGGTACTGGTACCGAAACAGATATATAGACCAATGGAACAAAACAGAGGCCTAGGAAATAACACCACACATCTACAATCTTCTGGTCTTTGGCAAGCCTGTCAATAACAAGCAATGGGAAAAGGATTCCCTATTTAATAAATAGTATTGGGAAAACTGGATAACAATATGCACAAAACTGAAACTGGACTCCTTCTTATACCTTATAGAAAAATTAACCCAAGATGGTTTAAAGACTTAAATGTGGCCGGGCATGGTGGCTCATGCCTGTAATCCCAGCACGTTGGGAGGCTGAGGTGGGTGGATCATGAGATCAGGAGATCGAGACCATCCTGGCTAACACGGTGAAACCCCGTCTCTACTAAAAAAAAACACAAAAAATTAGCCGGGTGTAGTGGCAGGTGCCTGTAGTCCCAGCTACTCGGGAGGCTGAGGCAGGAGAATGGCGTGAACCCGGGAGGCGGAGCTTGCAGTGAGCCGAGATTGCACCACTGTACTCCAGCCTGGGCGACAGAGTGAGACTCTGTCACAAAAAAAAAAAAAAAAAAAAAAAAAAAGACTTAAACGTAAGACCTAAAGCTGTAAAAACCCTGGAAGAAAACCTAGGCAGTACTATTCAGGACATAGGCATGGGCAAATACTTAATGACTAAAACACCAAAAGCAATGGCAACAAAAGCCAAAATTGACAAATGGGATCTAATTAAACTAAAGGGCTTCTGCACAGTAAAAAAAAAAAAAAAAAAAAAAAAAAAAAAAAAAAAAAAACCAGAAAAACCAGGCAACCTACAGAATGGGAGAAAATTTTTGCAATCTATCCATCTGACAAAGGGCTAATGTCCAGAATCTACTAGGAACTTAAGCAATTTTACAAGAAAAAAATACAGTTTATTATCCTCAGTAAAAGCAGCAGCCAGAGCCCATTCTGTTCCCTGAGTTTCAGTCTCCACAAGGTGATGTGGTGAGGCTCATGTAGTACCCAAATATGCAGAGGGGCGCAATGCAATTAAGAAGCTTCGCCCTTATGTAGGGCTGCTGGTGACCCAGTCACACACCTCTTTCTAGGGAGAAAAAAGACAGGGAGACTATATCTTTACTCTGGAATGTAAGCATATTTTCTCCAGGAAGAGGATAGAGATAAGTTTATCTTTATTGCTCTAGAACAGCTCAAAACAGTGAGATATTTCTAAACTTTACTCTCAGCGAATGTCTCAATATACAAACTTTCCTAATTTGTCTGTAATTATCTTTGCTCAGAAAAACTCGATTTCAGACATATAGAGATCCGGGGAGAATTGTCACAACATTCCCACTAAAATGGCCACCTTCACAAATAAATATTTTGTCTGAACGTCACCATTAGACACTGTTTTCAATCCCTAACTGCCACTATTGGTGCACTTACAGATGCCTAGAATATAAAGTCAGGTATTGCATGAATTGGAAAATAACCAGAGTACATTACAGGGACTGTAATAAACAGTCTTAAAGTGAGGGTAAGACCCTGACTTTTAGAAAGATAAAAATAGTGTATGTAGCAATAGCGGAATGGCTAGATAACTATGGCAATACGTTCCATGCAACACTGCCCAGAGGTTTAAAATAGTGAAACCAATTTACAAGTATTAGAGAATTGGAAACTTCTTTGAAATATATTTAGTGAAAATATTGTGATGGAACAATTTGAATATAATGACTTCATCTGTATTGTAACATGTACACATGTACAAATATACACATACATAAACATGTATGTATGATTGTAAATGAAATAATGCACAATACTTTATAAAATGTTTTGGAAATGGAAGAGGTTTGTTGTCCTAATGAATGGGAATTACTACCGGCATTTAGTCTCCATTGGAGACCAAGCAGTTCCCAACATAAAAGAATGTTCTTGAGCACTGCAAAATTAGCAGAATGTCTTTTTGTACATTCATGTAGTTGAAAAATCTATTTATACATAAATCTGCTTTTTAAACAATATAAATATGGTCTGTTTCCTGAAATCATCTAGTTTTCATATACACTGGATTTTTTTTTCTTACAAATGCATTACCTGATAAATCAAGGTAAGATTACAAACTGTATCCAATTTTGCTTTTGATTTAAGCTGCTGTGCTAGTGCTGATTCTACGTGGCATGTGTTTACTTTACCATAGCTCCTGTCTTACTGTACTTGAAGATTTACATATTAAAATAGGTGTTGTATTGTAGTTTTTAATTTATTCTTCTATGTAAACGGCAGGATTAAATCGCCTTTACTAATTAAGTGTCAAGGCAGATTATTCTGTCTAAACTGAATTGTGGCATGTTAAAGGAAACACTTTAAATATTCATTATAAAATGAGCCATTGGGTCTGCTATATTGGAGATCCACTCTTTTATATAATTCCCTATTGGTTGGATATTTTAATGTAAATATACATTTCTATAGTCATTTAAAAAATGTGTATATTAGGTATGTATGCTGAAGCCATACAGGCATGAATTTGAACCTTGTCTTTGTCACTTACTAGATCACCTTAGCAAATTTGGTTATCTTTTATTTTGTTTCAATATCTGCTAGTTTACTATAAAAATATGAAATAATTCCACATTTGTACAATAGTATTATATTCACACACTGTACAGCACACAAAGCCCAAAGGTTTGCACACTATGAAACATATGTACATATGTATTCATATACACATAAGTGAATAATTTCATGAAACTTAACATTCTAACTCAGTTATCTAAAATGTCTCATTGCACATTGAAGCTCATTTGCTGTATAATTATGTTTACATCTACTTTGAACAGAAAGAAGACACTGGCTGACCCTTGTCTGTTGCTTCCTCAGGTGTTTCAGACGCAGGTTATTAATAGACTTGGGAAATGCGATGTTTTCTAGGCATGATCCTGAAATCTACAGTACTTGAACAGAAGTCTGTTGACCAGAATGTTTCCAAACTTTAAACCCTGGGATAATGCCTTCGCATCGATTCAATAGTCAGAGACGATGCTGTCCTTTGATAAAGTCTGCTCTCATTAAATGGTAGTGTAGGTACAGCCCAATAATGCTCAACAAGACTCATTGAAAGCACAGCCTGTAGATCGAAAAGCAATTAGCATGCTAGATTGTGATAATTACTCACAGTATGGGAGGCTTCTCCAAGATAGAGCTTCCACTGTGCCTAATAATAGAATTATTTAAATGGTGATATATTTTCAGGGACACACAACATTCTCATTTCAACCTTGTCACTTATATTGGATGGGGAAATAAACATCCTTCACACATTTTTTCCCTTTCTACAGTATGGCACATTGCTGTTCTGACAACTTGTAATGTCACCTGAATGTTACCTTGAATCATGATTTAGTGGGCCAGAGCAAAGCAACATCTCATTTATATCTGCTATTTCCTTGCATTGCAATGTAATGATTGCAAAGACAAAAATTAATATTGAATGTGGAAACAGATGGAGGAGTTGTATGTCTGTAAAAATGTGTCCCTTATAAAAGGTCAAGGTTGCTCAAATTTCTACTTGGGGGAAAAAATCAATTTTGGGACATAGCAAAAGCCGTATGACAATTTATTTTGCTCAACTAAAATTAATTATTTCTGAATTATTAACCCTTAATATTTTATTCTACTTATGCTTTTTATCACTAATTGAAAATTATTTAGGATATCAAAAATACTATGATATGTTTCAATACTTAGGTGTACTTCCTGAATAATTTTGAAAATATTTTATTATTATATTGCTTCATTAAAGCTAGCATCCTAGGAACTAAATGCATGACTTATCATTATAAATAAACAATTAAATCCAGAAAAAATGCTTCACTAGAGAAAGTTAGGCTCATAAAACATCTTGCAGTTAAATTCCCCTCTGTTTTTTTTTCTTTCTACTTTAATTCAAACCTCTGTAAACATTTACCATTGGCATTTATTAATTGAAATTTAATCTACTTGATAGCTTATTTTGGGGCGATCACCTACATTTTTTATTCTCTGTTGATTCAAATTTTTGTTGCCAAAATATAAATAATTAATCATGTCAGTAAGTTAGAAACATTTCATGGAGAAACAGATTGCACTGACAGATCAGTGTTGAGTAAGATGATGATATATAAAAGGAAAAATGTCATTCAGAATTTTGGATTCAAAATTGGAACTTTGCTTCTTTAAGAAATGTTTCTTTACTTGAATATAAATAGATGTTCAGTTTATTTCTTTGCAAATGCATTATTATTATAATAGAATCACACTAGTGTATTTCCTGGGTATACGGTAAGTTTTGTCAATAATTTCATTATTGGAAGTTCATTTTTTTATAGTCATAAAAGGATAATAATAACATACCTATTCTGTTTTAGGCACTGTGCCTACTGTATATAAGTAAATCTTCCTCATCTTTATAACCAATCACAGAGCGTTTTTACCAACCTCGTTCAAAGATTCGAAGACTGTAGCATAGAGAGTTTAGGCAGCTTCCCCACAATCACAAAAGGAAAGAGGCAGGTTGAGGATTTGACCCCAGGGAAACTGTGCTTTTAATAACTGTAGCTGACTGATCTACAGAAAGGTTTCATTCACTCAGCGTATTGACCATTTGATCTCCAGTTTGGGTGTCAACAAAGGGAAAAGAAGACTAGAAAATGGGGAATGTTCATTTTCTTGAGACGTGTGTTGAGGAGGGACTGATGGTGTCAATTGTCCACACAGTGAAGCAGAACATTTTGATAGCTCCAAGTGTGTGGACATGTTGATGTCAGCACATTCTGTCTCTCCCTCTGCTGTTAACGAAAGAGGACAAGAATCGTGAATTTTTCACAGGTCAAATATATGAAAGTATATTCTAAAATGAAAGAAGGAAGAAAACATAAATCAAAAGAAGAAAGAAATGCATTTTTTGATATATCTATAGCTCTCTGGGGACTATTCATAGGCTGCCTGTAAAATGTATTTATTTATGTCTCATCACTACTCTTTAACTGCTCCTTGACTGCCTGTTAAATTAACTTTAGAGGTATAGTAGCACATGCATCTAGCAAAGTGTTTTTCCATGGGAAAGATTTAACAGGTACATATTGGATCAGTGTGAATATAAATGCTACATATTAAAAAATGTTTAACAGCACAGGCTCTGGAGCTAAACTCGTTGGCATTAAATACCAGTTTTACACTTAGTAGCTCTTCGATCTTGGGCAAAACAATTCACTTGTCTGAAACATTGTCTTTTCATCTCTAATCCTGAGATCCTAATAATGAAGATTAACTGAGTTATTATGTGCATCACTTTGCACAGATAATTGTGCATGCTAAATGGTTTATAGTGTTACTTATTGTAAAGTTGAATATATATATAAATTACATAGCATTCAAAATTATTAATGAAAGTAGCATTTTAAAATATGTGATGTATTTTTTCTTCTACACTTTAAAAAAAAGAACTGCTTTATCGAGGCTTGATTGGCATACAAAAAACTGCACATAGTTAAATGTATACAACGTGATGAATTTGGAGCTACGTACACAATTGTGAAACCATCGCCACAATCTATGCCATGCACTTACTCATCTCCTCTAAAAGTTTCTTATTTTCTTGTTTATTTATTATTTTTGTAATAAGAACACAACATAGGATCTACACTTTTAGCAAATTTTTAAGTATGTAAAAAGTATTGTTAACTACAAGCAATATGCTAAACAGTAGAACTCTAGGACTTATTCATCTTGTTTATAACTTTGTACCCTTTGACTGGCACCTCCCCATTTCCTTCTCCCTGAGTCCCTGGCAAGTGCCTTTTACTATCTGCTTCTATGATTTTGACTCAGACTTATCATATAATTGATATTGTGTAGATTTTGTCTGTCTGTGTCTGGCTTATTTCACCAGCATAATGTCCTCCAAGTTCATCCGTGTTATCCCAAATGGCAGGATTTACTTATTTTTTAACGCTGAAGAATATTTTATTGTATGCATATACCATGTTTTTTAATCCATTCATTTGATAAACATTTAATTTGCTGTCAACTCACTCCAGCTAGAATGGCTATTAATAAAAAAAACAAAGATAACAAATATTAGGAAGATGTGGAAAAAGAGAACCCTGGGACACTGTTGGTAGGAATGCGAATGGGTGAAACCACTATGAAAAAAATATGAGTTTCTCAAAAAATTGAAAATAGAATGACCATATGATCCAGCAGTCCCCCCAATTCACTTTTATGTACATAATCATCTCCTTAGTGATTGGAAGATAGTAGGTGAGGACTGTTTTCTGAGAAATAAAAAGATAGAATTCCATGTCTTGTAGTTTCTAGGATTTAGAATTGAGGATTTTTTCAGAGATGTAATAATTTTTTAGACCCCATTAGCTCCTAGTTTGTATATCAAAAGTCAAGCTTGGTGGCTTAGATCACAGTGTTTTTCATTAGTTTATGTGTTTTTATTTTTTTATGTTCTAAATATAGTGGAATACCAACTTCTCCAAGGCTGAGGAATTTTTGGAAGAAAATGATATGCAAATGTAGGGAAGGCCACAAAACCAAGTGTTGTTAGAGTGTGAAAAAATAATAGATGAACGCAGATGGAAAAGGGCCATTTGTTTCCGTTTCTATTTGGGGCAGAAGGAGATGATGATCTCACAGGGTGTTCAGCAACAATCTGGGAAGGCAGAAAGGGAGGAAGTTAGCACTTCCCAGCCATTCTCAGCACATGGGTGATATAAAGAATCTAGGACTCGTCCTGCATTTTGGGGAAATGTGGCTATAGCTGGTGGTGGAAGGCAAGCCCACAAGAAGGTTTACAAGGTGGGACAAACAGAGGGGAGTGCCTACAGTTCTATAGCTGAAATCTATAGGATAACTGACCCAGTTTGGAGATAGGTGGTGATATGGTGCGTCTGTGTCCCCACCCAAATCTTATCTCAAATCGTAATCAAAATTGTAATCCCCAAGTGTCAGGGGAGAAACCTGGTGGGAGGTGATTGGATCATGGAGGCGGTTTCTCCCATGCTATTTTTCATGATAGTGAGTGAGTTCCCACAAGATCTGATGGTTTTATAAGTGGCAGTTTCTCCTGTTCTCCTTCTCTCCTCCTGCCTTGTGAAGGAGGTGCCTGCTTCCCCTTCCGCCACGATTGTAAGTTTCCTGAGGCCTCCCAAGACATGTGGAACTGTGAATCAATTAAACCTCCTTTGTTTTCAAATGACCCAGTCTCAGTGTCTTTACAGCAGTGGGAAAATTTACTAACACAAGTGGATTATCACTGCTGGGTATCCGGTGGAGGCAAATGAACAGGGGAACGACTGGGCCTTGGTCAAACCAAATAAAAACAAAATTCATGTTATAGCAGCTCATGCATTAGCAGCACGCCCAATACAATGGCAGGGGATAGGGTCCCACCAATTCACATCACAGACATCAACCAGGGCACATTGGGTAAGCAGGCAACCAATTCTGTCACATAAAGCATTTATCTTTACATTAGGTATAGCTTTAACATTCCGACTAAATAAAAAAAATAAGTCCATGGTCAGTATCTGAGCACCTGCTCTCTTGGAAAGAGGTTAAAGGCACTTATGTAATATTTAATGCTGCAGTCCTCTCTATTTTGCACTTTTGTATTTGGATAATCCCCCTTCTGAGTAACACATTCTTTTTTTTAGAGGTGTTAATAGTTGCAACCAGGTTAACGTCACGTCCTGCTGGCCTGGGAGCCCTCTGCTCTTGAGGTGGCTGCTTAGCTATTATCAGCTCCATGATGGGCTTATCTAAAAGTTTCACTGTCAGGGGACAGTCTTTAGACACTTATTTTCAAGTCAGCCTCTCCCAGTTTCTCCTTACTTCAGAGTTATTTAAAATGGAAGAGATACTACAGAGTTAGTATCTCTTACTATTAGTCATAATAGTCATTACATTATTTTTCTATTGTTTATATACTTAAACTTTTAAAGAATTATTTTCAAAAATGTAAAGAAAATGTTATATATTTTTAAGAAAACTTAAGATTTTTTTAATTCCAGGTTTTGCCTTTCATGAACAAATGGGTCAGCAAAACTTATAGACATTTGTCACAAATAAATAGTGTACAAAATAATGCATAGATTATAGAACTGTTTTGTAGAACTGATGGGACTCAACAGTGTTTTGTTGTTGTTGTTTAATGTGTTTCATTTTGAAAATCAACAATTTAGTAAAAAGGGCATAGATTAAGGGTCACAAAGTTGTCATTTGGCTTACAGAATTACTCAGGGTTAAAAAAATAATTATTAGCAACATTTAACAACCTGAAGATCTTACATAGGAAGCCAGATGTTCTACTTCTTAAAGTCTGATTTTAAATTAATCATTGCAAAACAGCTGCGGCTGTGTAACATTAAAAGGAAAGAAAAATATTTCTTCTCTATTGTTAGCCACTGTTACAATAGTAATAGGGAACCCAAAGAGCCATGCATTTTGAGAGAAAAACAACAACAAAAAAGTATATTTCTTAGTTTAACTGAAGAATATTCCTGGCCGGGCGCGGTGGCTCACGCCTGTAATCCCAGCACTTTGGGAGGCCGAGGCGGGCGGATCACGAGGTCAGGAGATCGAGACCATCCTGACTAACACGGTGAAACCCCGTCTCTACTAAAAATACAAAAAAAAATTAGCCGGGCGTGATGGCGGGCGCCTGTAGTCCCAGCTACTCGGGAGGCTGAGGCAGGAGAATGGCGTGAACCCGGGAGGCGGAGCTTGCAGTGAGCCGAGATCGCGCCATTGCACTCCCATCTGGGCCACAGAGCGAGACTCCGTCTCAAAAAAAAAAAAAAAAGAATATTCCTGTGTGGCGTTATACCAGCTTGTTAAAATAAGACATTGCATGACCCCATTGCCAGCCACCTTCCCTCGTTTAAGTTACCTATCCTGCCTGTTAAGGCATCACAGTATGTGAATCTTGCCATAAATCATGTTTGGCTCTCATAACCCTGTGTGATCTCACTGACTAGCTCGTAACCTGAGAGTGCTAAGTAGTTCTCAGGACCAACTATGCCAAGGTCAACACGGGAATGCCCAATATGATTGGGATGTGTCATAGTGAAAGCGGACCATCATAGTTGATAGCAACTTTAAGAAAATGTCACTACAGAAGTTAGTTGTTTTTATTACCAAGACAAATGTCAGAGTAGCTGATCCTGAAATGATGAGTTTGTGTTTTGTTAAAAGTGATGTTTTTCTGAACATACATGTCCTTGAAATCTGTAGCTCCTAGATGCCACTGAAATTTAAATAATTGAGTCAAGCCTCTGCCACTCTGAAATTCTGTGACCCAAATTTTATTGGAGAGCCAAGTTTTCCATATAACTGAGATGTTACTGTCTGCACTCTGATACTAGATGCGTATGTAATCTGTACAGCAAAAACATTTATATACACATATTACTGGATCATTCTGCAAAATAATAAGATGACTTTAAGAAAAGAAAGGTTTAAAGGACTTTTTGCTTTTATGTTTAATAGTTTCATATAGCTTGGCTCATTAAGCACTAGGTATTTTCTAAATGATCATTAAAATTAAAAAAAATTAATTGTGGTAAAATACACCTAAAATAAAACTTACCATTTCATCATTTTTAAATGTACAGTTTGGTAGTATTAAGTACATTCACATTGTTGTGTGAGCATCACCGTCATTAATCTCTAGGGCTCTTCTTGCAAAATGAAACACTATACCTATTAAACAGCAACCCCATACAATTCTCTACTGCATACGGTCACTGACAGCCAACTTTCTACTTTCTGTCTATATGATTCTGATGACTCTAGCTACCTCATACATGTGTAATCATTCAGTATTTGTCTTTTTGTGACTGATTTATTTCATTTAGTACAATGTCTTTAGGTTTCACTCATATTCCAACTTGTGTCAAAATTCTTGTCCTTTTTAAGGCTGATGAATATTCCACTGTGTGTGTGTGTGTGTATACACACACACACACACACACACACACACACACCCCGTAATTGTTTATCCATTCATTGACTGTGTGACACCTGGGGATCCTTCCATCTTTTGGCTGTCGTAAACAATGCTGTTATGAACATGGGTGCACAATTCTCTCTTTGAGACTCTGCATTTCATTTTTTTAAAATATATCCCCAGAAGTGAAATTTGTGGTTCATAGAGTAATTCTAGTGTTCATTTTTTTAGATATTTCCATTCCATTTTTTCACAGTGGCTGCACCCTTTTAATTTCCTACCAACAGTAGAGTTTCCCATCCCTCTGCATCCTCTCTAACATTTGTCATTTCCTATTTATTATAGTAGGTGTATGATTTAATGTAATTCTTCCTCTTATGCTATCAAATTGAAGACTCATAATTCACATTGGGTTAAATAATGCTTAATATATCATCTCTATTCTTTTTCTTTCCATGTACTTCAACTCTGTTAATACTCAGTTCTGCTAGACTCAAATATAATACATCATTAAGCTCATGAATGACCAGAAAATATAAATTGCAGTATTTACCGGTAGGATCTTTATTTTTAACTCTTGTGAATTATATTTGCCTCTTTATTTCCTAGACACTAGTTTTGATGGTAGACTAGATATAATTCTAATTATTCCAGAGAACTAAACAGGGTCAGCTATAGTTCCTTAGAATACCAAACATGAGTATTTTTTCATCCATGCATATCCATATCTAACAAAATATGGAGAAGGTATTTTTTGTTTAAAAGGCTAATATAATGACACAGTTATGGAAACTTAAGATAATGGATCCACTGTATTCTTGCATGCTAACTAGTTTTCTGATTCTTTTTTTCTAATTTTAAAATTACACATATTTTGAAATTTGAAACCTTTTAATGTATGTACAGGTTTAAATTGAATGCAGACAAACAATTACATGAATAATAAGTCTATTTTAGAAATCCAAATATACACTTTCAAATAGCCTACAATTCCTCCAGCTTTCCAACAGTCTCAAGACACCTTTTTTTCTTGTATAATTTATGCTTTGCCATCATATTTTATTTTATTTTTTTTCTCTCTCTTTCTCTTTTTCAATATCTCAAATGGATTAGAAAAGTGATTCCTGGCTCCTGGTATCATATTCTTAGTGCCTTCCAGCCAGGGACAACCAGGAACACACTTACAGTTGAAATAGTTGTTTTATTAATCAGTGCAGTAAGAAAGAATGTCCAGCATGCGGAACCCTGAAACAGCTCTGTAAGAGGGTGTTAGCAAACTAAGAGCATTTGCTTTACGTGATTTTGGGGTTAACAAAGTGGGGCTTTGCTTTGGACTTAGAGTGGGAGAAACTGAGTGTGAGAGTAGTTATATGATTGCATTTTTAAATAAATCTTACCAAGAAGGAGAGATGACAAGGTTGAAGCTCCAGGTTTATTTGGGAAGGAAACAGCAGACACTTATATTAGCCGATGTAGAGAAATGTTTGCTATTTTGTGGCTTAGACAATTGTCAAGTTTTGTCTGTGTTTAGACATGAATATGAAGTGGCCTTGTTTTTGTCTTATTTACTACAGTCCCGCAATGGCCTTGTCTGATGTTGATTCTTTCTCAAATTGTTTGCATTCAGCATAACGACAAGACCTAACTGGGTTCCTGCTCCAGGCTAACAGGGGCTGCTCTTATCTTTCTTGTAGACACGTGAATTCAATTTAAAGACATGATTTATTGATTTCTGCACCTCTGTTTTCTCACCAGTACAGTAATAATATCTGATGGTTTGTTTTGAGTATTAAATTGATTAGGAAATATCACAAAATTAGCATTGCAACTAGGGCATAGTAAGAATTCAATAAATGCTACTTACTACATAATATTGGATGTTTGACAATCACTATTGTTTCTCATAGTGTGCCAATTTATCGAACTAATAAATCAAAAAAATGATTGAATGAGAGAAATAAGGTAAGTCCTGGTTATAGGAATCAACTGATGATCTGATTTTTGAAGCATACGATTTCACTTGTTTCAAGGAAAATCCATAATTTTCTCAAATATACTTTTGGAAAATCAGGACACGTTTTAGGTGAAAGGGGCACGTTCTGTGAAAAATATAATAGATTCAAATGAGAGTCAAAAATATGCACTACTTTCTGAGCTTTGCTTAGAAACATGCATGTCGTTACAATTTTATTTGGGGAGCTAGAGAATAAAATACATTGTGAAGGAATAATTGAGTTTAGTTAATCAGGCTGCAATTGCCAACAATATTATACAAAAGAATAATTTCTTGTGTTCATAAATTTTGCTCTTGTCTGAGAAATTCTGTGTAGTCTGGAGAATGTGTGTTGAAGGTGATTTGTTCTTTTTATATAAAATTGAATCTTTCTTTGTCCGTTTTATATAAAATATCTAGACATTTAAACGCATAATCTTCACTCACCTGCTTAATTACTATGTTGTTATTGTCTTTAGACAATGAGGCTGTTTAACCCAAAATTTATAAATGCATTATTCATGGACAATTGAAAATATGTATCATGTTTCATTAACACACATACAATTACTTTTTTTTTTTTTTTTTTTGAGACGGAGTCTCGCTCTGTCGCCCAGGCTTGAGTGCAGTGGCGCCATCTTGGCTTACTGCAAGCTCCACCTCCCAGGTTCACGCCATTCTCCTGCCTCAGCTTCCCTAGTAGCTGGGACTACAGGCGCCCACCACCACACCTGGCTAATGTTTTGAATTTTTAGTAGAGACGGGGTTTCACCGTGTTAGCCAGGATGGTCTCGGTCTCCTGACTTCGTGATCCACCCGCCACGGCCTCCCAAAGTGCTGGGATTACAGGCGTGAGTCACCGCGCCTGGCCACAATTACATTTTTATGGTATTTCTCTGGCATAAGTAATTCAGTAAAACCATTTTTAATCTGGGAAAGCCATCACCAACTGGAATCTAATTAATACATTACAGAAAAAAATGTAATCCAAGTCTTAGAATAGATTTCAATGTTTTTTAGTATTCTCAGTAACAAATGTCTAAATAATAAAACGTTATAATGAATATTCATAACTTGCTTTATGACATGAAAAATAAACAAGACAGAGAGGTTGAGAAACGTAATAAAGATGTTAGTGTAATAATTACAAAATTTGAATTTTTCGACTCCACATGCACAGAAAAAAATTTGCAACAACCAGGACTTGTACATTTGATATTGAAAAAAGAATACCTTCAAGATTAATATTGTCCTTTTACTTTACCCGAAATTAAGTCTCATGATTTTCATATAATATTTAGTTTCTAGCTCCTCACCTTTCCTTGCGATCTGAAACCCAGTAACCTCCATGAAGTGCTTCTTCTCAGCATATGTCTGGTGAATTACTGTAGAATTTCTACTGACATTTCTGCCTTACCTGTTCCGCTTTTCCTCCACTGGAAACCTCTATATTCTACAAATGATCCATCATTTGCTGAGCCTCACATTCACATTTTGCTGGGTACATTTCTGTTTTCTTTTTCTTTCTTTCTTTCTTTCTTTCTTTCTTTCTTTCTTTCTTTCTTTCTTTCTTTCTTTCTCTTTCTTTTTTAATTTTCTGCTAGGTACTGTTTTATTTTTTTGCAAGGAACTCTTACAGATGTAAACAGATAAAATTAGTTCACAGCTGTGTGTGGTGGCTCATGCTTTTAATTCCAGGTCTTTGGAAGGCCTAGGCAGGAGAATCACTAGAGTTCAGGAGTTCAAAACCAGCTTGGGCAACAAAGGGAGACCCCATTCCCCCAGCAAAATAATAATAATTCACAACAAGTGAATTGTAACTATCATTCTCCATTTACTTGTTAAAAATGGAAACTGAGTAACTGATATAAATCTTTAATTATAATCAATCTTTCTTATCAAAAGTTTAGAGGAAATGCTGTAAACTAGTTTCTGGCCAGGAATTCTTCCAAATCAAGATTGAAGACACGTTGGTCATCCCCAGCAATGGAAAGTAGAGAATCTACAAAGTAATATCACAATAGCTTTGCATCCCTTCTTGTGAACTCCGTTTCTTTCCCGGTAATTTCTAATTCTATTCCAATGGCCTGGAACTTCAGCTTGGAACAGTTCTATTCCAATGGCCTAGAACTTCAGCATTCCCACATCTTCTTTTCTCAGCAATATTTCTTTCTTCTTTTAAGGTTTGAATCTTGCTTTTCCCTAATTCAGCACTCAGTAGATGATCACTGATGCTATTATAGATTAGAGCACCCCTGGCTGAAGGTGACATCTGCCATCCCAGAGGATGGTAAAACTTGTTCTATCATCCTAAGCTCCTTTAATCTATTATTTAAAGTTTATTTTAAAAACGATATGCCTAATCTTCCTCAATGGCTGTACATTGTACAGAATTTTTTTTTCAGTTTCTGGTGGAATATAGCCTCCTCTCAACAGCAATATAATACGGAAATAATTCATTATGCCATCTTAGTTTTTATGAGGAAATCCAAGGTTATTTATGGAAATAATGAGTCATTAAAGAAATACTAATAGTGGGAAAAAATCTATTAATTTGTTTGATATATTAATTCTTTTTGATGAAATAGTTCTAGTATATACGTATACATAATCAAAAAAGTTTAGATAGCTTAAACACACAAAATAATAAGTTGATTATCAATTGCAGTTCAAAATCCCAAAGGGATAAAATCTAAGGAGAAAATGATAAGGTTTATCTCACTTATAGGGTTGAAAGTTTCAAGAAAATGACCACCTTAAATTTGATTACAAGCTGCATAATATGCAGGTTTGGAAAATAAGCTTTAAAGTTTGGTTTACCGGCAATTAGTGTCAAGCTTAGATACAGATGGTATGTTGTTAATCTGTTAAAGTTGGGGCTGTCTTTCAAGAATTAAAACAAATCAACAAAGTTGATTGCTATATAATTGAATATCCACAATTTCATTTTGCTCTAAATGTATTTACGATAGCTAATGCTTATTGATAAATTTGTTAACAGCCCATGACTTTGAGCCTCTGAAGTTATTTGAAGGGCACAACACCATCTGACAGTCTTGCAAAAGATTGAGGGCGACTTTACTGGAATGAATACCGCATTTTAGCCTAAAATAAATTGCTTACAGTGTTTCAGTTTCTTTAGGCATGAAGAACTGAGGTTATTTCCAGAAAACCTAAATTTAGTTAATAAGTCAATGCTACCATGCTGCCTGATCCCCATTTCCTCCTGAAATCATCACTTAACAAGTAAACCTAATCACCTAATTTTGGTTAATCACCAAAAATTCACTTATCAATGAGTTTTCACTTTCAATATAAACTCTATGTAGTACATAATGGTACATTTAATAATATAGAATTTTTTGAGGTTTCTAAAAATCAATTCAATACTGCTATTTGCAAATCTTTTTATGGCATAAACTCTACCCATGAAATAAGTAATTGCTTACTAGTTATTCAGACAATTTAATAAAAACTGCATAGTATGTTGAGGTATTTACTATATTAAATATGTCATAGTTTTATAAGTTTTATGTTAAGAGAATTTACTCTCTGCCCCCAAAAAACCATTTTTTGTAACATAAAGCAAAGCTGAAATTATTTTAAGTTTATTTATGGCTCAAATTATGACTGGTTGAGTGGAATAGATTGGCAGGACTGCCCTTCTCCACGTGGTTATTCAGGGATTCATACTGACAGAAGTGGCCGGAAAATTAGTCTCGTGCTCATGTCTTTTTTACTCCAACAAGATAGAAGAAGAAATGAGTGCAAGTGAGAGGTTATGAACCAGGTCTTGAAGTGGAGTTCATCATTTGGGATGACTGTGGCTGGAATGTAGGCTAGCTGTGTATCCAATAAGAACGGGAGATCATACATTTTGGATAGTAGCCACCAGTCTCTTTCACAAGTACTTTCTGTTAATTATCTCATTTCATCCTTTGACAAACCTACTATATTTCTGATATATTAAGAAATAAATTTAAAGATAGAGAAATTATATTACTTGATCACCTTATACACAGATGGAGCTGAAGCCTGGGTCTTTCTGCCATGCGATACCTCTGTTCTATGTGACTCTAATATTCTTCAGTAACATTATTGTTATTTGAATTTTTGCATTATTATTTGGAAAAACAGCAATGCAATGGTGCATGAATATAAGAGTTTCTATTTCTGATTGTGAATATGCTACCTATTCAATTTTGCTTAACCTATGTCTGTATGAATATCTACCAATGATATAACCTCACACATTTCAAATTATTTAAGTTAAAGATTTGGAAGGAATAAACAGAGCCAAAAAAAAAAAAACAAAAACAAAAACAATAAAAAAGATTTGATTTTGCTTCGTTCTCATCGTAATGTATCCATTCCCTTTATTTGAGAATGTTTCTTATTTAATAATCTTAGTATTTTAAACTATGACTTAACAAAATATGAGAGAAATGTCATGTCATAGTTATCTGAGGTCAGTGGACAGATTTTCTTTCTCTCTATAGCCATTCATTAATTTGTTCATTCAACAAATGTTTATGTAGCCCCTATTATGCAACATTCATTTTTGTGACAGAGGGGATAGTATAGCACAAAAAGTAGAAATATCTGCCTTCAATGACCATCTATACTAGTAGAAAATACAGATAATAAATAAATAAATGCTAGATGTATAATTTAATATCATGCAAGGGATCTGTTGAAAAAGTAAATGAAGAAAAGTAAGAATTCAATATCTCTACTAAAAATACACAACTTTAGATACAGTCATCACTGAAATCCTTTAAGTTTGTCATTTGAGCAGAAACCTGAATGAAATATTGATCGATGGGAACTACTAGCATTTTACTAGTATTTAATTGAAGCTTTCTCCAGTGGAAAGTAGGCAGTTATGGAGCTTGGCTGAGTTTTGTGATAAATTACAGACTGGATGAATTATAGGAAGCAGATTTGCAACAAGGGGTGAATCTAACTAATGAAAAGGTTAATGGAGTTTGTTGATGTACACACAGGTGATGTTTACTGTGTTTCTTAACTTGAGGCAAGTACATTTGCAGGGGATTAAATTTAACCTATGACTTAACTTACATGTTCGGCAAGGGATACTGTGCATGGATATCTTTAACTAATCAAATAATTAAGAATTTCATTGTTATTTGTGACATAGATAAACTAGGACATACCTATGTTTCCAAGAGTTCTGCCTTTTCACATATAATATTACACTCTATAAACCACAAGTTTGATAACAGTATTTTTGTAATTATTAGTAGCTCATTTCTTATATTATACAGCATTATATCATAAAAAGACTATTGAGCTCATTTAACAAATACAACATGGTCATACTACTACTTACGATATGTATGACAAATAATGTAACTAAGCTTATGGAAATTTGCATTTGTTTAATATCTCTGCATAAAGACAAAGATACAAATATTATGTTGAATTCTCTCTCTCTCTCTCTCTCTCTCTCTCTCTCTCTCTCTCTATATATATATATATATATATATATATATATATATACCTATATATATTTGAGGGCTCTCTGATTTCTGTTTATGAGAATTAAGTTAACCTGGTGAGAAGTACCAGCTAGCATGAGGATCAATTGATTTTATGTTAAATCCATTTTATCAGTTGGAGAAATTCAAGATTAATGTTGGAGAAACAGTATAAAGCTCTAGTTTTTCAGGCTGTAGAATATAAAATCATCAGACAAAACCTAAAAAGGCAAGATATTAGATGTAAGAAATGTCTTAAAATGAATGTGAAGTGAATTGAAAAGAGCCATGAATAAAGCAAAAACCACTAGGAATTCAATTTTGTTGGCTATTTCTGACATTCACAAGTAGACGTACCAGAAGAAATAAAATCTAAGAAGAGTTTATCTTTTACACAGGTTATTTCCAGCATCTGGCAGTTCATAGCACAAAGTAAACTTCTGCATATGTTTGTCAGAATAAACTAAATCGTCTTGTTAATATACTATTGACACTAATTTTCTTAAGAATGTAGTAAAAAAGTAAATCGTTCATTAAAAAAAGGAAAAAATAGAGAATGGTTAAGACTGTGAAGTTGTGACTGAGGAAGATATTTAGATTTTATAAGATAAGGAACGATTTTAGTTCATTCAGTCATTACAATAGTTCAACTGCATGCATATATTAAAATATTATTATTATGAACATTTAAAAATGTACACAAAAATAAAACAGCAAACAGTTTAATGTATTTAGCTCCCAGCTTCAAGAATAATCAACATATTCTCCAAATTTGTTTCATATTCTTCTCCATTTTTTTCATCTTGGACTAGATGTTTAAAGAAAATCCTAGATGTCATGCTGATATGGTTTTAATGTGTCCCTATCCAAATCTCATCTTGAATTCCCACATGTTGTGGGAGGGACCCAGTGGGGGGTACTTGAATCATGGGGGCAAGTCTTTCCCATGCTGTTCTCATGACACTGAATAAGTCTCATGAGATCTGATGGTTTTATAAAGATGAGTTCCCCTGCACAAGTTTCCTCTCTTCGCCTGCCGCCATTAATGTAAGATGTGACTTGCTCCTCCTTGCCTTCTGCCATGATAGTGAGGCTTCCCAGCCATGTGGAACTGTAAGTCCAATTAACTTTCTTTCTTTTGGAAATTGCCCAGTCTCAGGTATGTCTTTATCAGCAGTGTGAGAACAGATTAATACAGCAAATTGGTACTAGTAGAGTGGGGTGTTGCTTAAAAGATACTTGGAAATGTGGAAGCAATTTTGGACCTGGGTAACAGATAGAGGGTGAAACAGTTGGGAGGGCTCAGAAGAAGACAAGGAAATCTGGGAAAGTTTGAAACTCCCTAGAGACTTGTTGAATGGCTTTGCCCCAACCTGCTTACAATGATATGGACAATGAATCCAGGCTGAGGTGATATCAGATGGAGATGAGAAACTTGTTGGGAACTGGAGCAAAGATGACTCTTGTTATGTTTTAGCAAAGAGACTGATGGCATTTTGCCCCTGCCCTAGAGATCTGTGGAACTTTGAACTTGAGAGAGATGATTTAGGGTATTTGGTGAAAGAAATTTCTAAGCAGCAAAGTGTTCAAGAGGTGACTTGAGTGCTGTTAAAAGCATTCAGTTTTATAAGGGAAGAAGGACATACAAGTTCAGAAAATGTGCAGCCTGGAAATGTGATAAAAAAGAAAAACTCATTTTCTGAGGAGAAATTAAAGCCAGCTGCAGAGATTTGCATAAGTAAGGAGGAGCCAAATTTTAATTCCCAAGAATATGGGAAAAGTGTCTCCAGGGCATGCCAGAGGTCTTCATGGCAGAACCTCCCATCACAGGTCCAGGGGCCTAGGAGAAAATAGTTTCAATATTTACTATGGTTTAAATATTTTATATTTTACATTTTCAAATATTGCAGTTTTATTATTTATTTTAAATTTTGCCGTCATTATCACACAGAAGGAAATTTGCAACATTTTCTTACTGCCATCTGTAACCCAAAATAAACGTGCCAATTTATTTCAAAATTCATTTTTTACAATCCATTGGTTTAAATCATGATCCATAAGTCACACATTGCAATTGATTGTTGTCTTGTAAGTCTTTTATAATCTATAACAACTTCGTTTATCTATGTTTATTTTGTTATGAATTCATTATTTGTCTTTTCGAAAAAACAGATCATTTTGTTACAGTAGGTAGCTTGTCAGGCATGAGCAGGGTAAGGGAGGGCTCCCTCCCCCAACCAGGAATGTCAAGTGACCATCAGGTCATGGTCAGGTGGTTGTTAAAGTGTCTCTCTAAAATAATAATTGGTTGCAGCTGGCACCAGCGAAAGGCAATCTCCCATCAGAGAGACAAAACCTGAAACAGGTAATCAGCAGCTTCCGGATAAGATCACAGGAGTTGGACAAGTGTGCTCAAGCATGCATGTTAAAAAGCAAAATGATAGAGTTTAACTGGTATATGACTTTCTAGGAAAATTCAGCTGGTAAGGGAATAACACCTGAAAAGAGCATACATACAACTCCAGTAAACACACTGCACATGCTCAACTCCCAAGTGCTAGCAGGCCGCTGCACATGTGGACAGCCCACCCCAAAGGGAAGAATCAGGGGAGAAGGAATGCAAGATCATAGTAGTATGCCTGTGTATAAAACCCCAAGTCAAAGGTCAAACAGGGCACTTGATCTCCCAAGTCATCTGCTTGGCCCTCTTCCAAGTGTGCTTTACTTCTCTAAAGCTTTTTAAAAAAAACTCACTTTTGCTCTAAAACTTGCCTCTGTCTCTCCTTTTGCCTTATGCTCCTCAGTCAAATTCTTTCTTCTAAGGAGGCAAGAATTGAAGTTGCTGCAGACACATGTGGATTCACTGCTGGTAACATACTTTGGTGCTGTGACTCGGATATGTTCCCCAGCGGTAAAAAACCTCTAAGCCTCCTCTTCTTCAGCTGGAGACGTTCAATCCCGGTACATTGTTTTCTTCTTCCCTTTCGCTCTCCTACTTACTAATCAACCCCCAGAACAATTCCTCTTGGCCATAAGTGGCTCTGCTCTTCCCAGCTGATCTCTCAGCTCACCCTGACAGGTGGCTTGGGGGTGGGAAGCACCTTCAGGTCCACGCTGAATAGAACTGAGGCACTAATGGACCTCCTGTACAGGAGGCTTGAGAGAGTGGTAGGTAAATGTTCCCATTCCAAATGGGAGAAATTGGGACAAAACAAAGGGGCCACATGCACTATGCAAGTTCAAACCCAACAGGGTAGTCATTAAACCTTTAAACTCCAAAATAATCCCATTTGACTTCACGTCTTACCTCCAGGGCATGCTGAGGCATGGGGCCGGCTCACAAAGCTTTGGGCAACTCCACCCCTATGGCTCTGCAGGGAATAGGCCCATGGCTGCTTGCATGGGTTGGTGTTTTGTGCTTGCAGCTTTTCCAAGTGCATGATGCAAGTTGTCAGTGGATCTACCATTCTGGAATCTGGAGCACAGTGGCCCTCTTCTCACAGCTCCACTAGGCAGCGCCCCAGTGGGGACTCTGTGTGGGGGCTCCAACCCCACATTTCCCATCTCCACTGCCCTAATAGAGGTTCTTCATGGGCCCTTGCAGCAGACTTCTGCCTGGACATCTAGGCATTTCCATACATTCTCTGAAGTCTATGCAGAGGTTCACAAAACTCAATTCTTGTTATCTGCACTTCTGCAGGCCCAACACCATGTGGAACCTGCCAAGGCTTGGGGCTTGCACCCTCTGAAGCAATGATCTTAGATGTACTTTGGCGCTTTTTAGCCATGGCTGGAGCTGGCGTGGCTGGGACGCAGTATATCTTGTCCCAAAACTGCACAGAGCAGTAGGGCCTTCACCTCAGCCCAAGAAACCATATTTCCCTCCTAGGCCTCAAGATCTGTGATGAGAGGGGTTGCCTCAAAGATCTCTGAAATGCCCTGGAGATATTATCCCCATTGTCTTGGCTATTAACTTTTGGCTCCCTGTCACTTATGCAAATTTCTGCAGCTGGCTTGAATTTCTTCCAAAAATCTGGGTTTTTCTCTTCTATCACATGGTCAGGCTGCAAATTTTCCAAACTTATATGCTCTGCTCCCCTTTTAAACATAAGTTCAAATTTCAAACCATCTTTTTGTGAATGTGCATGATGATGTGCTTTTAGAAAAAGCCAGGCCACCTCTTGAATGCTTTACTGCTTAGAAATTTCTTCTGCCAGATATCCTAAATCATTTGTCTCAAGTTGAAAGTTCCACGCATCTCTAGGGCAGGGGCAAACTTAACCAGTCTCTTTGCTAAAGCATAGCAAGAGTCACCTTTGCTCCAGTTTCCACCAAGTTCCTCATCTCCATCTGAGGCTACCTCAGCCTGGACTTCATTGTCAATATCACTATCAGCATTTTGGTCAAAACCATTCAACTAGTCTCTAGGAAGTTCCAAACTTTTTCTCATCTTACTGTCTTCTTCTGAACCCTCCAAGCTGTTTCAAACTCTACTGGTTACCTAGTTCCAATGTCATTTCCACATTCTCAGTTATCTTTATAGAAATGTCCCACTAATTTGGTACCAATTTTCTATATTAGCCTGTTTTCACAGTTACCCGAGACTGGGTAATTTATAAAGAAAAAAAGGTTTCATCGACTTACAGTTCCATATGGCTGGGGAGGCCTCAGGAAACTTACAATGATGGCAGAAGTTAAAAGGGAAACGTAGCATGTCTTACATAGCTGCAGGATAGAGAGAGAGCAAGGGGGAGTGCCACACTTTAAGGCCATCAGATCTCATGACAATTCATTCACTATCATGAGAATAAGAAGGGAGAAATCCACCACCATGATCTAATTATCTCCCATCAGGCCCCTCCTCCAACATGTGTGGATTACAATTTGAGATAAGATTTGGGAGGGGACACAGAGCCAAACCATATCAATTGACTTCATTATTTCTTTTGAATACATAAATTAGTGATTTTCTAGTTCCATCTTTTTTTTGGCATTGATTATCAAGGGCTCATCTAAACTATCTAAACTAAAGTTGCCTAATCAATCATTTGATTACTTTATCATTTCTACTGGGTTGTCATTGTTTCTTTTTGAAGGTGTGTTTCAAGTGTACTGGGGATGTCTAGGTTCGATGTGTGGTGAGATGGCATAAAATTATTTCATTAATATTGTTATGCATCATTTACATTCCTATGTCTAACATTGACAAAATACTATAATAATACAATATTTTAATATGCTGAAAAATAAACACCTTCGGGGCTATGTATTTCAAACTGGTTTATTCTAAATTGTATGAAGCTAAAAAACAACAACAAACCCTGCTTATTTTAATTGAAAGATATATTATTGTAAATGCTTAAATTTATTACTATAATTTACTGATTAATATATCTGGCATTATTACTGTGTTTCATTAATCAGTTCATCCTGGAATTGAACACCTTAAAAGGATAAGATTATTTCATGATTAATAAGGCTTACTAAAATAATTTTGCTCTTACATTGAGTTTTTTCTATAAACTCCTGAGGAGATTTTGAATATTTAAATCACAAATAAAAATTAATCCTTAAACTTCACTGAGTTAATTAAATGAAGAAAGAATATCAGTACAAATTGGCTAATTTTGATAACTTAAATAAATAGGCCCAGTGGTTTTTTTCTTTTTCAAGTAAATTGCATATATATGTGTGTATTAAGTAATATGTATACATTATTTATGTGTGTGTGTGGGTAACATATGTGTGAGACATGTGTGTATATATATATAAAAATACAAAATATATGTAATATATAAATTATATATATTATATATTATATAAATATAAATATATATATATAAATTTTTTTTTCCTCACTGCTGCTTTTCAGGGCTATTATTCAGTTCCCATAGTATAGCAACTTTCCAATTCTGGTGGTGGGATAATAACTACTTCATGACTGGAATGTTGCCTACCTGGCCTCTCAATGTTCCATTCTCAGGACTCAGTTTTTTAGTAAAGTCCAGTAGTGTACCAAGAGCCTTTTTTGAACAGTGTTCAACTCTCAGCTGTAGCTATAATTCCCATTTTCTTAAATACTGGAATATGCACTGCATATTTATTAGCAAGGTGAAAACAGACTAATACAATAAATTGGTACTGAGAGTGGGATGTTGCTGAAATGATACCCAAAAATGCGGAAGTGACTTTGGAAGTGGGTAACACACAGAGGTTGGGACAGTTTGGAGTACTCAGAAGAAGACAGGAAAATGTGGGAAAGTATGGAACAACCTAGAGCCTTGTTAAATGGCGTTGACCAAAATGCTGATAATGATATGGACAATGAAAGGTGGTCTCGGATGGAGATGAGGAGCTTTTTGGGAAGTGGAGCAAAGGTGACTCTTGTTAGGTTTTAGCAAAGAGACTGGCAGCATTTTGCCCCTGCCTTAAAGATTTGTGGAACTCTGAACTTGAGAGAGATGATTTAGGGTATTGGGCAGAAGAAATTTCTAAGCTGCAAAGCATTCAAGAGGTGACTTGGGTGCTGTTAAAGGCATTTGCTTTTAAATGGGAAACAGAGCATTAAAGTTTAGAAAACTTGCAGCCTGACAATGCAGTAGAAAAAGAAAAACTCATTTTTTGAGAAGAAAATCAAGATGGCTGCAGAAATTTATGTAAGTAGCAAGGATCCTAATGTTAATCCCCAATATCGTGAGAAATAGGTCTCCAGGCTGTGTCAGAGACCTTCACAGCAGCCCCTCCCATCACAGGCCCCGAGACCCAGGAGGCAAAAGTGGTTCTGTGGGCCTAGTCCAGGGTCCCTGTACTGTTTGTGGCCTAGGGACTTGATGCCCTGTGCCCAAGCTGCTCTAGCCATGACAGAAAGGGGTCAACATAGAGCTTGGGCTGTGGCTTCAGAGGGGCTTGCTTCAGAGGATGGAAGCCCCAAGGCTTGGCAGCTTTCACATGGTGTTGAGCCTGCAGGTGCACAGAAGTCAAGAATTGAGGTTTGAGAACCTCTGCCTAGATTTCAGAAGATAAATGGAAACGCCTGGATGTCCAGGCACATATTTACTGCAGGGGTGGGGCCCTCATATAGAACTTCTTCTAGGCAATGCAGAAGGGAAATGTGGGGTTGGAGCCCCCACAGAGAATCCCTACATTGACACTGCCTAGTTGAGCTGTGAGAAGAGGGACACCATCCTCCAGACCCCAGAATGATGGATCTAGCACCGTGCAGTTGGAAAAGCTGCAAACACCCAACACCAGCCCATGAAGGCAGCCAGGAGAGAGGCTGTACCCTGCAAAGCCACAGGGGCTGAGCTGCCTAAGACCATGGAAACTGACCTTTTGCATCAGCATGACCTGGGTGTGACACATGGAGTCAAAAGAGATCATTTTGGAGATTTAAAATTTGCCCCACTGGATTTTGGTCTTGCATGGGCCCTGTGACCCCTTTGTTTTGGCCAATTTCTCCCACTTGGAATGGCTGTATTTACCCAATACTTGTACCCCCATTGTATCTAGGAAATAACTAGATTGCTTTTGAGTTTACAGGCTCATAGGCTGAAGCTACTTGCCTTGTCTCGGATGAGAATTTGGACTGTGGACTTTTGGGTTTATGCTGAAGTGAGTTAAGACTTTAAGGGACTGCTGGAAAGGCATGGTTGGTTTTGAAATGTGAAGACAGATTAGGAGGGGCCAGGGTTGGAATACTATAGTTTGGCTGTGTCCCCACCCAAATCTCAACTTGAATTGTATCTCCTAGAATTCCCACCTGTTGTGGGAGGGATCCAGGGGGAGGAATTAAATCTTAGGGGCTGGTCTTTCCCATGCTATTCTCGTGATAGTAAGTAAGTCTCACAAGATCTGATGGGTTTATCAGGGATTTCCACTTTTGCTTCTTCCTCATTTTTTCTTGCTGCTGCCATGTAAGAAGTGCCTTTCACCTCCTGCCATGATTCTGAGGCCTCCCCAGCCATGTGGAACTGTAAGTCCAATTAAACCTCTTTTTCTTCCTAGTCTTGGGTATACCTTTATCAGTAGTGTGAATATGGACTATTAGAACACACATGTTAACTTTTTATAAACTGACCCCAGCAAGGTAAACAATAAAGCAAATTTGCTTGTTGTAATCATTATTAGTGTTATTTTGTTTATTATCAAGGAATACATTGTTCACTATCTATTTCTATATATTTTTCAACTTTAACCTAGTTTATTAATTTTTGCTCTCTGTCTTTAGCAATGTTTTATTCAGAAAGCATTTTGCCTGTTTAATGTGGAAACCAGGTGGGAATCTGTAGTCTGCTCAGGGAAGACTCGGGGTATCTGGTAGGATAAGCTGAAATATTTTGCCTTTTCCTTGTCTAGCTTGATACTATCAAAACTGTTTGTTATGATTTTTTTAATCCTTTGCTGGTAAAAATTTTTCATGTGTTAAGCACAACATTATATAACAAATTCATGGTTCAGTGTAAGAAACAGAAGTCATTCCAGATATTTCAATTGTTTGAAACAAGTGATAATAGAGGCACAACATATCAGAGCCTCTGGGATACAGCAAAAGCAGTGATAAGGAGAAAGTTTATAGCATTAAATGCCTACATTAAAAAGATAGAAAGATCACAAATTAACAACTTACTATGGTACCTCAAGAAACTAGAAAAGAAAAGAAAGTAGCAAACCAAACTCAAAGCTATTAGAAGAAAAGAAATAAAAAATCAGAGAAGAACTTAATGCAATTGAGATAAAAATACAAAGAATCAATGAAATTAAAAGTTGATTCTTTGAAAAGGTAAACAAAATTAATAGACCACCAGCTAGACTAACCAAAAAAAAAAAGAGGTTCAAATAGGCATGATCAGAAATGAAAAAGGAGAATTAAAACTGATGCCACAGAAATACAACAGATCATGAGAGACTACTGTGAACCTCTGTGTGCTCACAAATTAGATAAACTAGAAGAAATATATGCATTCCTGGAAACATACAAACTCCCAAGATTGAACCTGGAAGAAAAGGAAATTTTGAACAGGCCAACAATCAACTGTGAGATTGAATCAGTAATAAAAAATTTTCCAACATCAACAACAACAAAAAAACGAGGACCTTACAGATTCACAGCCAAATTATACCAGGTGTCAAACAAGAACTAGCACCAGTCCTCTAAAAACTGTTAAACACACACACACATATACACACACACACACACACACACACACACACACACACAAACATCGAAAAGGAGGAAATCTTCCCTAACTCACTCTATGGAGCCACTATTGCCCTGATAACAAGGCCAGGCAAGGACACAACAACAATGAAAAAAACTACAGGCCAATATTTCTGATGAACATAAATACAAACATTTTCAACAAAATACTAGCAAACTGAATCCAACAGTACATCAAAAAGATAATATACCATGATCAAGTGGCTTTTATTTCAGAGATGCAAGGATATACAACATATGCAAATCAATAAGCATGATTCACCATATGAACAAAATTAAAAATAAAACCAAATGATCATCTCAGTAGATGCAGAAAAAGCATTTAATAAAATTCAGCATGGCTTCATGATGAAAACCCTCAACAAAGTAGGTATTGGAAGAACAGAACTCAATATAGTTAAAGCTATATGCAACAAATCTACAACCAAAATCATACTAAATGCAGAAATACATTTAACATAGGAAATTACATGCTTGTCAAACCACTGGTGGAGTTGGAGGGATGGAAGTCACTGTCATTGTCTACAATGACATACCATTGCTGCCATGACCCTGGCCAGAAAACTACTGTTGTCACTGATGTCATCACAGAGCCACCCACACTCATGAAGTTTGTGACTAGGTAAGGAAGCATAGACTATGCCTGCTGCTACTCTATATTTGCTAAAGATCACCTGTGAGTTATCACTGATACTGAAATGTCACCTCTTCTCTTCTGCATTTGAATTTTATGCCACTACTTCAAGAAAGTAGAGTCTGAATTGTTTCTAGTTACCTGGCTACATGCACATCCTTAAAATATGAGTTTTAGTGTTGCCTTCTTAGTAACACATGAGTGATCTTAAAATGGAGTGGAAATAGATGATGAGTATTATCAACTGACAGCAGCTTAAATAAAGTTTGTATTGAGTATTTGTAAAATGTTGCAACAAAAATGACATTTTAAATGAGAAACTCAAACATTCTCTCCCCTTTCCTGCATAGGTAAATGTAGTAATCATTAAGTATTTAAAGTTAACAAAATTATCTTGTGACTTTTCGGCAAAGATCTCCTGTATGTTTCCTAGGGCTGCCAGAACAGAATACCACAAACTAGGTGTCTTAAACAGCAGAGATTTATTTTCTCATAGTTCAGAGGCTGAGTGCCCAAGATCATGATGTTGACAAGTGTAGATTCTTTTGACGCTTCATTCCTTGGCTTGTGGATGGCTGTCTTCTCTTTGTGTTCTCACATGGGTTTTTTTCTCTGAAAAAGCATTTCTGGTGTGATTGTGTGTTTCTGAATTTCCTCTTATTATAAAGACACTGGTCAGATTATAATAGGGCCCACTTAATAGTCTCATGTTAGATTAATCTCTCTGTAGGCCCTGTCTCCAAATATTTTCACATTCTGAGGTGCTAGGAAATTCAGCTTCAATATGAGTTTTAGAGGGACATGATTCATCCACTAACACTCCCCTCCCATAGTTTTTTATTTAATTTCACAAGCAGATGCCATGTGGACCATGTAAATTTCCATAGTCATTATGAAGTTACATGAAAGGTCATTCTCATGTAATTTATTGATAAATTTTACCCTAAAACTTTAACCTTATACGTGTGTGTGTGTGTGTGCGTGCATGTATGTAGGCGTACCTCATTTTATTATGATTTAATTTATTGTACTTTGCAAATATTGTACCTTTTACAAATAAAATATTTCTAACAACTTTGCAATGAGCAAAATAATTTGTGCCTTTTTTTTTCAACAGCATGTACTCATTTTGTGTCTCTGTGTCACAGTTTGGTAATTTTCACAATATTTCAAATATTTTTATCATCATTATATTTGTTATGGTGATCTGCAATCAGGGATCTTTGATGTTCCTATTGTAATTGTTTTGGGGCCCCATGAACTTTTCCCATGCAAGTCGGCAAACTCAGTAGAAAAATATGTGTGTTCTAACTGCCCCAACAATCCCACATCTCTCTCCCTCTCTTCAGGCCTCCCTATTGACAACAATATTAAAATAGGGCTAATTAATAACCCTACAATGACTGCTACATTTTCAAGTGAAAGGAATAATCACATATCTGTCACTTTAAATCAAAAGCTAGACATTATTCAGCTTAGTGAGGAAGGTATGTGGAAGGCTGAGATAGAGGCTGAAATTAGGCCTCTTGTTGTAAAGTTAGCCAAGATTTGAACAGAAAGGAAGAGTTTTGGAAAGTAATTAAAAGTGCTACTTCAGTGAACACATAAATGATAAGAAAGCAAATGGCCTTATTGCTGATATGAAGAAAGTTAAGAGTGGTTTGGATAGAAGATCAATCAGCCACAGAATTCCCTTAAGCCAAAGCCTAATTCATTAAAAGGCCCTAACTGCCTTCGATTTTATGAAGACTGAGAGGGGTGAGGAAGCTGCGGAAGAAAAATTTGAAGCTAGCAGAGGTTGGTTCATGAAGTTTAAGAAGATAAGCCTCCATAGCATGAAAGTGCAAGGTGAAGCAGCAAGTGCTGATGTAGAAGCTGCAGCAAGTTATCCAGAAGATCTAGCAAAGATCACTGATGAAGATGACTACACTAAATAGATTTTAATGTACATGACACAGCCTTACATTGGAAGAAGATGCCATCTAGAATTTTCATAGCTAGAGAAGAGAAGTCAAAGCCTGACTTTAAAGCTTCAAAGGACAGGATGACTCTCTTGTTAGAGGCTAATGCAGCCATTAACTTTAAGTAGAAGTCAATGCTCATTTACCATTTAGAAAAGTCTAGGGCCCTTAAGAATTATACTCTACCTATGCTCTATAAATGGAAACTAAGACTAGATAACCATGCCCATGTTTACAGCATGGCTTACAAAATTGTCAAGCCCACTGTTGAGACCTACTACTTAGATTAAAATTGCTTTCAAAATATTACTGCTCATTGACTATACATATGGTCACCCAAGAGCTCTGAAGGAGATATACAAAGAGATTAATATTATTCTTATTCTTCTTAGTATTATAATTATTTTGAGATGGAGTCTCACTCTGTCAACCAGGCTGGAGTGCAATGGCGTGATCTCAGCTCACTGCAACCTCTGCCTCCTGGGTTCAAGCGATTCTCCTGCCTCAGCCTCCCAAGTAGCTGTGATTACAGGCACACACTGCCACGCATGGCTAATTTTTTTGGATTTTAGTAGAGACGGGGTTTCACCATGTTACCCAGGCTGGTCTCAAACTCCTGAGCTCAGGCAATCCACCCACCTTGGCATCCCAAAATGGTAGGATTACAGGTGTGAGCCACCGCTCCTGGCTGAGATTAATATTGTTTTTATACCTGCTAACGCAAAATCTATTCCGTCGCCCATGTGTCAAGAGGTCATTTGATATTCAAGGCTTTCTATTTAAGAAACACATTTTCTAAAGGTATAGCGATGGTTATTCCTCTGATGAATCTGGGCAAAATAAATTGAAAACCTCTGTAATGGATTCACCATTCTAGACGATATTAAGAATATTTTTGATTCATGAGAGGAAATCAAAACATCAACATTAACAGGAGTTTGGAAGAAGTTTATTTTCAATAAATAATTGCTGCAATATCATGATAAAACTCAAATGAAGAAAGACTTGCTTCTTAAGGATCAGGAAAGAAAGTGGTTTCTGGACATGAAATCTACTGCTGGTGAAGAGTCTGTGAACATTGTTGAAATGACAATAAAGGATTTAGAATATTACGTAAACTTAAATTATAAAGCAGTGGCAGTTTTGGAAAGTATTGACTCCAATTTCAAAAGAATTTCTACTATGGGTAAAATTTGTCTTATTTTAAGAAATTGCCACAGCCACCCCAATCTTCAGTAAACTTTACTCTTAAGTTAGCGGCCATTAACAGTGAGGTGAGACCCTCCACCAGCAAAAAGACTAGGACTCATTTAAAGGACAGATAATTATTAGCACTTTTTAAAATAAAGTATTTTAAAATTAACATATGCACATTGTTTTTTAGATATACTATTGCACACTTAATAAACTATAGTATAATATAAATATAACTTTTGTATGTACTGGGACACCAAAAAAACATTGTGTGACTCATTGTCTTACTCTATGTTGCTATAAAGGAATACCTGAGTCTGGGTAATTTGTATAGAAAGGAGGTGTATTTCGCTCATGGTTCTGCAGGCTGTACAAGAAGCATAGCCCTGGCATCCTTCTGCTTGACTTCTTGTGAGGATGTGAGAAGGTCAAACTTCCACTCGTGGTGGAAGGCAAAGGGGAGCAGCATTACTATGTGGTGCCGAAACACATGGAAAAAGAGGAAGCAAGAGAGCAGGGTAGGAGGTTGCAGGCTCTTTGAAACAGCATCCCTCAGGGAACTATTAGAGCAAGAATTCACTCACTACTGTAAGAATGGCATCAAGCCATTCATGAGGGATCCACCCCTGTGATCCAAACACCTCCTACTAAGCCCCACCTCCAACAATGGAGTACAGGTTTCAACGTGAGATTTTCAAGAAGTCAAACATCTAAACTATAGCACTTGTTTCATTGAAATATTCACTTTATTGCCGGGCACTGTGGCTCACGCCTGTAATCCCAGCACTTTGGGAGGCCGAGGTGGGCGGATCACAAGGTCAGGAGATCGAGACCATCCTGGCTAACAAGGTGAAACCCCATCTCTACTAAAAATACAAAAAATTAGCCGGGTGTGGTGGCGAGTGCCTGTAGTCCCAGCTACTTGGGAGGCTGAGGCAGGAGAATGGCGTGAACCCGGGAGGCGGAGTTTGCAGTGAGCCGAGATTGTGCCACTGCACTCCAGCCTGGGTGACAGAGTGAGACTCCATCTCAAAAAAATAAAAATAAAAATAAAAAAAAGAAATACTCACTTTATTGCAGTGTTCTGGAAACAAACCTGCAATATCTCCGAAGTATCTCTCTCTCTCTATCTCTCTCTCTCTCTCTCTCTCTCTCTCTCTCTCTGTCTCTCTCTCTCCCCTGTCTCTCTGTGTGTGTGTTTTAACCAAATGTGCAAAATATCTAGGCTCAATTATTTACACACCACATTAAAGAAACTCAAAATTGAGGAAATCTTTTTACGTTATAGAATATTTGGGGTCCATTGCAAATTTTTGCATGACCTTAATGATCTCAATACATACTTTCACTATTACAAATAAAGCTAGTTTCTAAGGTTACAAAAATGAATGTGTTTTACTTGTTTCAAATTAACTATTTTCTTTTCTTTGTAGGAACAATAAGGAAGTGAGTGCTTTTGTAATTCCTGAACAACTGTGTCTTACACTTACTAAGGTAAAATATCAGGATTATGTTAATCTACACTGAATGATGAGAACACTACTGTAAAGTTAGTTAAGGAATGTTCTAAAATTCTAACTAGACTTTGAATAAAATTGTGTTAATTATGCTAATGTAAAAGTATCTTAAATGCTCCCATTGCTCATTATCTTTCTGTGAGTTGCAATTATTCTGTAGTGCTGCAAACTACACTGTGAAATAAGAGCCACTGGCATTTTTATAAATTATCTAAATGTAAAAATTGCTGTACGGTGGTTCACATAAATTCTTTTTATTACAGTGTTCACAGTACGTAGATACAGTGACAGATCATTTCTAGGTAGAATCAAGATGAAAAGTGTAGTCCAATTACTGCAAGAAATTCCAGCAATAAAATAATTTTTTGGCTTAAATTGGCAACTCAGAAAGAAAGGCCAGGCCTTCTGTATGTTTGAGAATAAAAGTGAGCTTATTAATTTGGCTTATTATACACAAATATAACAAATGGTTCATTTCTGATACACTTACTGATTTTTATTCAAGGTAAGGTAGTTCATTAAATTCAGAAAAAGTGACACAAGATAATATGAAGCTGATATTTGTTTAGGTATACTTCAAATAAATATACATTTTAGGTATATTTCAGGAATTAAGCCATATCCCAATTGTTATGAAAATAATCATCACTGAAATTCCTTGCAGTAATTGGATCATACCCCTCATCTTTATTCTACCTAGAAATGACCCGTCACTATATCCTTATACTGTGAACACTGTCGACGATTAAAGAAACTCATATGACCCATCATACAGCAATTTATACAATAGTTTATAAAAATGCTAGTGGCCTTCTAGTAATGTGTGTGTATATACATATATATATATATATGTATTTGTATACATATGTGTATGTATATGCACATATATATACACACATATGTATATATTTGAAATAAACTAACATACCATACAATATATTAATTTAAATTTTAAAATTCAATAGATTTTGTTATAATAATGCATTGCTTAATGCAGATATGTTCTAAGAAATGCATCATTAAGCAATTTCATCCTTGTGAGAACATTATAAAATGTACTTCCACAAACCTGGATAGTATAGGCTACTACACACCTAGGCTACCCCGTATATCTTACTGCTCATAAGCTACAAACCTGTACAGCAAGTTACGGTAGTGAATACGGTAAGCAATTGTAACTCAATGGTATTTGCCTGTGTAAACATATCTAAACATAGAAAACATATGATATGATAGAAACATTTTTAGTTCTATTGTAATTACTGGGACCATATATGCAGTCCATTGTTGACCAAAACGTAGTTACGCAGCTCATGATGGTATATTCACAGAGTGGGGCAACCATCACCACAAAAACTTTAGAAAACTTCTATTACCCCAAAGCAAAAATTCTATACCACTTACTTAACAGTCACCCTCATTTTTCCCCACCATCACCCTCAGTCTTAGGCAACCACCAATCTGCTTTCTGTCTTTAGAGATTTGCCAATTTTGACAATTCATATGAATGAAATCATACAACACATGGTCTTCTGTGACTAATTCCTTTTGTTGACATAATATTTTTAAAAATTCATTTTTAATTTAGTATGCATCAGTACTTTATTTTTTATTATTGACAAATAATATTTCACTGCACATAACACATTTATTCATTCATCAGTTGATGGACATTTATATGTTTCTTCCCTGTTTATTATAAATAGTGCTGCTATGAACTTGGTGTATATATATTTTTACTTCTCAAGTACTTGTCTGGGAGTGGAATTGTGGGATCATATAGTAATTCTATGTTTCACTTTTTGAGAAACTGCCAGACTTTTACAAAGTAGCAGTACCATTTTACATTCCTACCAGCACAGTACAAAGCTTCCAGCCTCTCACATCCTCACCAACACTACTTTTATATCTTTTTAATTATAACCAAGTAAGTGTGATGTGACATCACATTATGGTGTAATTGTCTCTTAATAATATATCAATTAGTAACAAATATCCTCAAGTTATCACCAAGGATCACTTAAATTGTGCTGGTCCAGCCCTTCATGTGTGCTGATTTTGCAATTATCAATAATCTGCAACAACTGATTTAAATACTTAACAGAGATATCAATTATAAAAGAAAGAGTTAAAGAAAAAATAAGGAAAGAGCAAAATAATAATTATAATTCATAAATAATATTTCATATATTGGACATACTGTATTTTATCCATTCATTGACTGATGGACATATGGATGGAAAAGAAAGGAATGATAGGAAAAGGAGGACGTACTAGCATGAGAAAGGAGTTGATTGTCAGACAACATATTATTTTAATGTCCTGAGAAAAATAAGTGTTAATCTAGAATCCTATATTCAGACAAATGATCTAACAATTTGGGGCTCCCAAGAATGTTCTATGACTTTCCCTTGATGCCCAGTGTTCCAATTTCCCTTACATCCCTCTGCCATGGAAAGCTGTGTTGGTTTCATTGACACCTTTCTAACCAGGATACCCTTGCCCCTACTATTCCCTCTTTTCTCCTTCCTTTCTGATTCAATTTCTCTTCTCTAAATTTTTCTAATTCTTTAAGGATCAGTTTGAGTGCCTTTCTTTGCAGAAGGAAAAATCCTCTTAGAAAAAAAAATGGACATTATGAACATATTCTCTTCTATGTTAAATTGTCAATCTCTTGTCACCACAAAATAGTATTTTATGTGTTAAAATTCTCCATATCTCCTAGTAGAATGTCATCTGCATAAGAGGTATGAATATACATATAAAATTTTAGTAACCTATTAAGGAAAATCTTATTGAATTATTAATGAAGAATGTTTCTGTGACTTGTATTCAAAGCTAATTTCTCAAATCTTGATTAATTACAGAATTTTCTTCATCTATTATTGTTCGCTTTCATAATTATAAAACAGCATACCTCATTCAAAATATCTTAATATTGTAATTTTCTACAACTCAAGGAATTGTACTATCTGAGTCAGTGACTTCAATTGGCTATATTTGGCTGTATGCTTAACTGCATACACGTTCACACACAGCAAGTTTAAAAACTCACGGAATATTTAATATTAGATGTAATTTCAAGAGTACAATTTCAGAATATACATATAGTTTTATTTACATTATGAGGTACTTTTCATTTGATTTGATTTCTTCTTGTATCCCTTGAATACATAATTGGATTATTATGGATTATATAATCAAGGGACATAAGAAGAAATGCATTATTCTTGAATAATATTCCCTTTATCAATGCCAAGGAAAGTTATATAAATGCCTGGCTTGAAAAAACACAGGATCCATATTTTATCCAGAGACAATGTAAACAAATTAGTTTCAACACAATAGATTTTGGGGTAATACAGAAAAATGTTAAATTAAAGAAAGGAAATCTGGTCATAATAAAAAGTGGTTACAAATATCATTGAAAACTAAAAAGGAGGTAGAAAAGAACTATAAATATTTAAATATTAACTAAAATTGTTTATTAGAAACTTTCTAACTCTGTGTGGCACTTGAATGGTAATACTGGTCTTCTAAATCCCTGTGTCTGTTTGTGACCAAAGAGCTGCCACTAGACCTTATAAGGCATCTTTGTTCTTGTTATTGAGAGTTGTGGTCAGAGCTAAAGAAGTCCATGGCCTATAACTGTATCTGAACTTCATTTTACATGGCTATACGCTCTTTGAACTAATATTGCTGTTTCAAGATTACTGCTCAGAGAATTACTATCCCACTGGTTCACTGCTGATTTTTCTATTTAGAGCAGAATTGTTAAAAAGCACATTGACTGAAGTAATATCAAAGATGTATTTGAGTGCTAATGATCCAAGATCTTAAGAAACTATCCAAGGGCCATGGACAATAACAGATCATTTTTATAATATATAAATTATAAAGGTCAATTATAATTTTAGAGGATAAAAGTAAGTATTGGTAATGATGATATTTGCCCTGCCAAATATCACAGGGCTGCAGGACAAGTTTGCTAATATTCTAGAATTGCTCTTTTCAAACTAGATTTCAGAAACTCCTAGAGCTGTACTAAAGAGAGGCTGAGTTACATACTGGGTAAGCCTGGCCCCAGCCAGCAACCTTCAGTTCAACAGAAAACAAATGTTAGAACTGTGTAGTTTTATAAGAAGTTAGAATCTATACAGCAAATTAATTCTCTTTTATGATCATTTTGGATAAACAATTTAATTCTTTCTAGAAGATAAATACCCAATGCAACATATTAATTGCTTGACTGGCTTTAAGTTCACTGAGTCCATCTGTCTATACTATGATAGATAGTGAAAATCACATCCCTTCTTTCATTAACATTTAGGTAGCAGATGAAATTGAAAACCCACATATCTGAACACTTCCCAATGTATTACACTTAATAAAAATGAAAACTGTTTTCATTTTGGCAATCTTCTTCACTGCTGAAGTTACCTCTTCTGACTTTATAAATTATATATTGATATTAGTTTTCTTGTGAATGTTTATATTATCAAGGCTTCTTACAGACTCAGTTTTATTTTTTTTATTATTATACTTTAAGTTCTGGGGTACATGTGCAGAACGTGCAGGTTTGTTACATAGGTATACACGTGCCATGGTGGTTTGCTGCTTAGACTCAATTTTAAAGCTTGCTATAAGTATTTTCTTTTGATAGTAACATTATCACACTTTGTCAGTGGGAATACTATGTGTTTATAATATTATAATATAATATTAGATTAGATTAAATATAATATTCTATCTGTAGAGCAAGGTTTAAGATATATCTTTATTTTTATGTATTCATTCATTAAAGCAGCATTCTCAAAGTAGGTCTGGAGACTTTAAATAAAAATAGTATTGTTGATCAAAATGTGGGCATTTAATATTATTCCACAATACTGGTACTTGGTAGCTTGGAGTTACTAACCTCTAGGCCACTGGGGTTACTAACAAAGCCGAAATATATTCTTGTTAATCAAATGTGCTCACATCAGTCTTTCCTTTTTAAATTTAATTTTGTAAAATATTTTGCTTTAATTTTAGTCTGATATAAATTGCTAAATATTTATTCTTTATAATATGTTTACTAAAACTCTTATACCCTCAGTCTCTTCTTTCTAATAACTCTCATACAACTTACTGACTACCATGCTATGGCAATTTCATTGACCTTGAAGGTTTTCACCAAAACTATTGCTTCTCTTTCATCATTGTTTGAAACAATTCATGAAGTATTGTGATTTCTTATTTGAAATAATGAAACTAAATAAAGATTTACATTAAAAATCAGAAAATGATGTTAAAGTTAAATACAGTTAATCTAAATTTTTTCACATAATTTGATTTCGTGAGTTTACTTTTCATGTAGCTTTTCTCATTCTTATTGCATCACAATGCAAATCGTTTGCATAAATTCTGCCTAAGAAATAACATATTTCATAACACAATTACTCAATTTCAATAAAGAACCAGATATTAACATAGAAAGAAATGCAGTGTTGCTCAAGATTTGATTAACAAAAAAAATTGCAAAGAATGTGTTTTTGCAGCTATCTCTAGTCAACATGTCTAGTTTTTGAAGGTCAAAAGGAAGAAAATAATAGAAGAGAAGTTAGCCAATCAGTCAGTTCAATAATGGTAACAATAAAAGTCAAATATAATTATAAATTGGTAGGAAGGAATACTAAATAGATTTTTAAAATATTTGATCCTTTATACTTAGATTTAAAAATATATATTTACTATAAGATTAGTGTATCTTTTATGGAAAAATGGATGTAATAGTCAGTTGCTTAACAATTGTGTATCATAGTTGTGTATGTAAGTCTATTGTGTGTGTGTTTCTACCCTGAGCTGTAGAACATGCCAAAGCATGGGCACAAAGTAAACAAAACATTTTCAGATGGAGCCAAGATAAATAATGATATCAATCTAAGCTTAAAAAAAATCAAACAACTAACAATAGCTTGTGGCTAATATATGAATGATAGGGATAGACTGCAATTTCTGAGCAAAGCTGTTTTTAATAACCATGTATATCAAAGCATCAGGGAACACTCAATATCTTAAAATGTTCTTACTATACTAAGTTTGTAAGCATATTCCATTTAAAAATTTGGAAAAACAAAAGCCTAACAATCTAGATGTGATGAATACTCATCCAATGTTGTCCAGAGACATTGAACTTTGGCAAGAAAAATATAAGGTACTGTATTTTGCTCTAAGCAAAGTTTCACAAGGTGTGATCTGCAGACCACTGCTGGTCAAAAACTCTCATTGCTCTATGCTTTCACAACATGGAGACCAACAGTGACAAAAAGAAATTACCTGTAGAAGGTAATCTATTTTCCACTGACCTTCAAAATACCAATCCATATTTGTGTTTAATATTTTGGATTCAGGGATTCATGGGCAATATGACTGAATAGGAACAGCTCCAGTCTGAAGCTCCCAGTGAGACCAACATAGAAGGTGGGTGATTTCTGCATTTCCAAGTGAGGTACCCAGCTCATCTCATTGGGTCTGGTTAGGCAGTGGGTGCAGCCCACGGAGGGAGAGCCAAAGCAGGGTGGGATGTCATCTCACCCAGGAAGTGCAAGGGGTTGGTGAACTCCCTGCCCTAGCCAAGGGAAGCCGTGAGGGACTGTGCCATGAGGAAGCCTGCATTCCAGCCCAAATACCACGCTTTTCCCAGTCTTCGCAACCTGCAAACCAGTAGATTCCCTCGGGTGCCTATGCCACCAGCACCCTGGGTTTCAAGCACAAAACTGGACGTCCTTTGGGCAGACACCAAGTAGGCTGCAGGAGATTTTTTTTCTGTACGCCAGTGGTGCCTGGAATGCCAGCAATACAGAACTGTTTATTCGCCTGGAAATGGGGCTGAAGCCAGGGAGCTAAGGGTTCTTGCTCAGCAGATCCTATCTCCACAGAACCCAGCAAGCTAAGATCCACTCACTTGAAATGCTTGCTGCCAGCACACTAATCTGAAGTCGACCTGGGACACTGGAGCTTGGTGGGGGAAGGGACATCTGCCATTACTGAGGCTTGAGCAGGCGGTTTTCCCCTCAGTGTAAACAAAACCACTGGGAAGTTTGGACTGGGCGGAGCCCACCGCAGTCCACAAATGTGCTGTAGCCAGACTGCCTCTCTAGATTCCTCCTCTATGGGCAGGACATCTCTGAAGGAAAGACAGCAGCCCCAGTCAGTGGCTTGTAGATAAAACTCCCATCTCCCTGGGACAGAACACCTGGGGGAAGGGGCTGCTGTGGGCACAACTTCAGCAGACTTCAATGTTCCTGCCTGCCGGCTCTGAAGAGAGCAGTGGGTCTCCCAGCACAGCGCTCGTGCTCTAGTAAGGGACAGACTGCCTCCTTAAATGGGTCCCTGACCCCCATGCCTCCTGACAGGGAGACACCTCCCAGCAAAGTTCGACAAACACCTCATACAGGAGAGCTCCAGCTGACATCTGGCAGGTGTCCTTCTGGGACGAAGCTTCCAGAGGAAGAAGCAGGCAGCAATCTTTGCTGTTATGCTACCTCCACTGGTGATATCCAGGCAAACAGGGTCTGGAGTGGACCTCCTGCAAACTCCAGCAGACCTGCAGAACAGGGTCCTGCAAACAAAAGCAATAGCATCGACATCAACAAAAAGGATGACCACTCGAAAACCCCATCTAAAGGTCACCAACATCAAAGACCAAAAGTAGACAAATCCATGAAGATGAGGAAAAGCCAGCACAAAAAGGCTGAAAATTCCGAAAACCAGAATGCCTCTTCTCCTCCAAAGGATCACAACTCCTTGCCAGGAAGGGAACAAAACTGGATTGAGTTTGATGAATTGATAGAAGTAGGCTTCAGAAGGTGGGTAATAACAAACTCCTCCTAGCTAAAGAGGAATGTTCTAAACCAATACAAGTCAAGGAAGCTAAGAACTTTGATAGAAGGTTACAGGAACTGCTAACTAGAATAACCAGTTTTGAGAAGAACATAAATGGCCTGATGGAGGTGACAAACAGCACGAGAACTTCGTGAAGCATATACAAGTATCAATAGCTGAATTGATCAAGCAGAAGAAAGGATATCAGAGACTGAAGATCAACTTAATGAAATAAAGTATGAAGACAAGATTAGATAAAAAAAAGAATGAAAAGGAACGAACAAAGCCTCCAAGGAATATGGAACTATGTGAAGAGACCGCACCTACGTTTGATTGGTGTACCTGAAAGTGATGGGGAGAATGCATCGAATTGGAAAACACACTTTAGAATATTATCCAGGAGATCTTCCCCAACCTAGGAAGACAGGCCAACATTCAAATTCAGAAAATACAGAGAACACCACAAAGATACTCCTTAAGAAGAGCAACCCCAAGACACATATTCATCAGATTCACCAAGGTTGAAATGAAGGAAAATATGTTCAGGGCAGCCAAAAAGGTCAGCTTACCAACAAAGGGAAGCCCATGAGACTAACAGCAGATCTCTCTGCAGAACCCTACAAGCCAGAAGAGAGTGGGGGCCAATACTCAACGTTCTTAAATAAAAGAATTTTCAACACAGAATTTCATATCCAGCGAAAAAAGCTTCATAAGTGAAGGAGAAATAAGATCCATTACAGACAAGCAAATGCTGAGAGATTTTGTCACCACCAGGCCTACCTTACAAGAGCTCCTGAAGGAAGCACTAAATATAGAAAGGAAAAACTGGCACCAGCCACAGCAAAAACAATCCGAAATGTAAAGACCATCGTCACTATGAAGAAACTGCATCAACTAGTGGGAAAAAAAAACCAGCTAGCATCATAATGACAGGATCAAATTCACACATAACAATATTAATCTTAAATTTAAATGGACTAAATGTCCCAATTAAAAGACACAGACTGGCACATTGGATAAAGAGTCAAGATTCATCGGTGTGCTGTATTCAGGAGGCCCATCTCACATGCAAAGATACACATAGGGTCAGAATAAAGGTATGGAGGAAGATTTACTAAGCAAATGGAAAGCAAAAAATAAAAAAAAAAATTAAAAAGCAGGGGTTGCAGTCCTAGTCTCTGATAAAACAGTCTTTAAACCAACAAATATCAAAAAAGACAAAGAGCATTACATTACACAAGAAGAGCTAACTATCCTAAATATATATGCACCCAATACAGGAGCACCCACGTTCATAAAGCAAGTTCTTAGTGACCTACAAAGAGTCTTAGACTCCCACATAATAATAGTGGGAGACTTTAACACCCCACTGTCAATATGAGACAGATCAATGAGACAGAAAATTAACAAGGATATTGAGGACTTGAACTCAGCTCTGGTCCAAGCAGACCTAATAGACATCTACAGAACTCTCCACCCCAAATCAACAGAATATACATTCTTCTCAGTACCACATAGCACTTATTCTAAAATCAACCACATAATTGGAAGTAAAAGACTCCTCAGCAAATGCAAAAGAATGAAAATCATAACACACAGTCTCTCAGACACCAGTGCAATCAAATTAGAACTCAGGATTAAGAAACTCACTCAAAACCACACAACTGCATGGAAACTGAACAACCTGCTCCTGAATGACTACTGGGTAAATAACGAAATTAAGGCAGAAATAAATATATCCTTTGAAACAAATGAGAACAAAGACATAATGTATCAGAATCTCTGGGACACAGCTAAAGCAGTGTTTAGAGGGAAATTTATAGCACTAAATGCCCACAGGAGAAAGCTGGAAAGATGTAAAATTGACCCCCTAACACCACAATTAAAAGAACTAGAGAAGCGAGAGCAAACAAATTCAAATGCTAGCAGAAGACAAGAAATAACTAAGATGACAGTACAACTGAAGGAGATAGAGACACAAAAAACCCTTCAAAAAAATCAATGAATCCAGGAACTGGGTTTTTGAAAAGATTAACAAAATAGATAGACTGCTAGCTAGACTAATAAAGAAGAAAAGAGAGAAGAATCAAATAGACAGAATAAAAAATGATAAAGGGGATATCACCACTGATTCCACAGAAATACAAACTACCATCAGAAAATACTATAAATACCTCTATACAAATAAACTAGAAAATCTAGAAGAAATTGATAAATTTCTGGACACATACACCTCCCAAGTCTAAACCAGGAAGAAAGTGAAGCCCTGAATAGACCAATAACAAGTTCTGAAATTGAGGTAGCAATTAATAGCCTACCAAGCAAAAAAAGCCCAGGACCAGATGGATTCACAGCCGAATTCTACTACAGGTACAAAGAGGAGCTGGTACCATTCCTCCTAAAGCTATTCCAAGCAATACAAAAAGAGGGACTCCTCCCTAACTCATTTTGAGGCCAGTATCATCCTGATACCAAAACCTGGCAGAGACACAACAAAAAAAAGAAAATTTCAGGCCAATATCCCTGATGAACATTGATGTGAAAATCCTCAATAAAATACTGGCAAATCGAATCCAGCAGCACATTAAAAAGGAGAAATACGTATTGTAGAACACATGGACACAGGGAGGGTAACATCACACACCCAGGCCCGTCAGGTGGTAAGGGACTAAGGGAGGGATAGCATCAGGAGAAATACCTAATGTAGATGACAGGTTGATGGGTGCAACCAACCGCAATGGCCTGTGTATACCTATGTAACAAACCTGCACCTTCTGCACATGCATCCCAGAACTTAAATATAATAAAAAAAAAGAAAAAAAAAGAACTGTTCAACTGGTTAATTTTAATTAAAATGTAACACATATCTTGAACAATATGCATTGCTTTGTTTAAAAGTTTGAAACATGTAAGAAACCTTGAATTTTTTCATATTACTAGGAACCTGTAAATGTTGTTCATTGCTTGTAAAAATGAGTTTGCATTTTTTGTTTTTAATTTGCTTTAAATTTGAATTGAATTAAAGCAAAACTGACATTTCTAGGATTTATTTTTATTTTCTTGATAAGTGCTCTATGTAACTCGATAGTCAGCAGGACACACTTGTAGATTTTCAAAAAAATACCACCTCTGCCTTATACCGACTTTGTCTTTTGGCTTTATGGAATCATTAAAATGAATTGTGTTAACAAATTAATGTTTTAAAATGAGTATTTTGGATTCCATTTTCCCAGTATTCCACGTTAATTGTGTTGTATACAGTATCAATCTTTCAAGAATTGAGTAATGAAAATCAGATGTAATATTATCTGAATCGATGATTAGCAAATGACAGCCTACTGGCCAATTTTTGCCTGTTTCTGTAAATAGAGTTTTGTTGGAACATAGCCACTATCATTTGTCTGTGTATATACAGCAGTAGTAGTAAGTCCATATCAGAGAAAATATTTTTGATCTTTTCAAATTCTCAAGTATGTTAATTCATTTTGAGTGCCATGATTAGATGGATATGAAGAAAGTTCAGAGTTACCAACTTCTCCGAGTCCAATGAGTCAGAACATCCGCACACACATCCAAACATCCATGAAGTCAGTTTATAGATGGGCGGCAAGGAGTAACAGAAACTTGGGATTCACTGTGAGCTGGTTCCCTGAGGCTCAGAAAAGCTGCTTGGGTTAGACGGAATTTTATCTGCATGTGTCCCACTTGCACTGACCCTGGAGGATTCTAGAAAGCAGCAATCCTGGGTCTTATATGCCAGGGTCCCAGGAGACTCTGGGATAAGGCATGAAGGACATCCTGTTTCTAGCAGGGAGACTAGAACATAGAATGCTGTTCAGGACAATTTCTCCTCTTCTCAGAATGTTGCCTTCCTAGCACATTCTATGGTTATTCTTGAAAAATACAAGCAAGAGTTGGGGGAGAACTGGGTAGACCCAAAGCCACCTGAACTGTTTTGCAGTGGGATTTATTAATAAACATTATTTATGTCTAATACAGTGAAAATATGTTAAATGTATCACAGAGAACTACCAGAGTAAACTGTTTTAATTGATTATGATATATTGATTAGATTTTAGGCATCTGAATAGAATTTCTGAGCAAGATTGACATGAATTTATATATTGTATTATTGTAGCTTAGAGCTATGATACATTATTATAACTCTTCCCAAAATACATTGACTTTTTGAAAACAGATTTCTATCAAGATTAATCCAGAAGCCATCTATATTTTGAATTGACATCCCCAACACGTAGCAGTGGTGTCAGATATTTAGTTGATGCTGAAAAATCTGTTGAATAGATCAATGTTAAGAAAGTCTTTGAAATGAAATATATCACTTAAATGTAAACCTTCCTCAAGATAAGTAGAATTTGGAAATAGATGGACCAAAACCTCTTAAAATTCTTAATTTTATTGCCAATTATGGTACAAAGGTTTTCTAATATATTAAGTACTTTATTTAAATAACAGACAGTTCCCAACTTACTGTCATTTGACATGGTGTTTTGACTTTATGATGTTATGAAAGCAATACAAATTCAGTAGAAACAGAAATGCAAATTTTGATTTTTTACTTTTGCTGGCTGTAGATATATGGTACAATACTCTCGTGTAATACTGGGCAGTGTGCCACAGCTCCCAGTTAGCCAAATAATCACAAAGGTTAACAGCCATGAATTATTCAACACTTAATTATAAAATAGATTTTATATTAGATGATTTTGTACAACTATAGGCAAATGTAAATGTTCTGAGCCTGTTTAAGGTAGGCCAGGTTAAGGTATGACATTTGGTAGGTTAGGTGTAGTAAATACATTTGACTGACAATATTTTCAACCTATGATGGATTTATCAAGGCTTAACCCCATTGTGAGTTGAGGAGCACAAAAAACGTTAAAGCTTTTTTATTTTTTCCTTACTTTACCTCATTTGGGATGAAAATGTTTTCTGTTATTTATGTCTGGAGATCTGAATCACAATGAACTGTGAATCAATAGTATTTTTGTAGGGGCTTTAAAAAATAACTTTATAATAATCTCTGAATTCTCTAGGTATTGTCTTGTATCTTAAAAATAACTTTATAAAAATCTCTGAATCCTCTAGGTACTGTACCCACTTGATTATTAAACTCCTCTTCTTCTGAGGTCACACATTGATGAGCACTCCCATGGGATACAAATATCTTCACAGTTTTTGACCACTCAGAGAGGTCCAGCCACATACCTCTTCCCCAAATTTCTTTGTCAACAATATTCCAATCATGCTTCTTCCAAGTCCCTGACCATCCAGCCAAACCATTGGCTACAGTCCATGAATCAGTATGTAATCGCACATCTGGCCATTTCTCCTTCCATGCAAAGTGCACAACCAGGTACACTCCTCGAAGTTCTGCCCACTGGGAAGATTTCCTTTCACCGCTGTCCTTCAAGAATGTCCTAGAAAGAGGCTGTAGTGCTGCTGCTGTCCACGTTCAAGTAGTGTCTGCATATCATGTAGAACCATCTGTGAACCAGGCCCTATTTTTCTCTTCCTCTGTCAACTATTATATTGTCAACTCCCCATGAGGCCATCAGTGCAGGCTGGAGGAGAGAAGGCAGGGTGGCAGTAGTGGAGACCATGAGAATTTGAGGCACTTCCTCATATAACTTACTTGTGCCTTCAGGACCTGGTCAAGATCCATCACATGTATACCACTGTCATTTGATGATGGAATGCTGCTATGCACAACCCACTTTATGACTAGATGGGTCAGAAAGCACCCAGTTCATGATAGGCAGTTCAGGCCACATGATGACTTGATGACCCACAGTTAAATGTTCAGTTTCCACCAAAGCCCAGTAATAGGCCAAGACCTGTCTCTCAAAAAGAGAGTAGTTATTTGCAAAAGATGGCAGGGACTTGCTCCAAAATCCTAGAGGCCTCCGCTGTGATTCACCTATGCGAACCTGCCAAAGGTTCCAAACAGCATCCTTATCTGCTGCTGACACCTGAAACACCATTGGATCTGCTGGGTCATATGGCCCAAGTGGCACAGCAGCTTAAACAGCAGCCTGGACCTTAGCAAAGCCTTCTCCTGTCCTGGAACCCACCCAAAACTGGCAGCTTTTCATGTCACTTGATAAATGGGCCAGAGTAACACACCCAAATGAGGAATGTGTTTCCTCCAAAATCCAAATAGGCCCACTAGGCATTGTGCCTCTTTCTTGGTTGTAGGAGCGACCAAATGTGGTAACTTATCCTTTATCTTTGAAGGAATATCTCAACAGGCCCCACACCACTGGACCCCTAGAAATTCTACTGAGGTAGAAGATCCCTGAATTTAAGCCAGATTTATTTCCCATCCTCTGGCATGCAAATGTCTCATCAATAAGTCCAGTGTGTTTGCTACTTCTTGCTCACTGGATCCAATCAGCATAATGTCATAAATGTAATGGACCAGTGTGATATCTTACAGAAGCGAAAAGTGATCAAGATTTCCTCTGAATAAGATTATGACACAAAGCCGGAGAGTTGATATATCCCTGTGGTAGGACAGTAAAGGTATATTGCTGGCCTTGCCAGCTGAAGGCAAATTGCTTCTGGTAGGCCTTATGAAAAGGAATGGAGAAAAAGGCATTTGCCAAGTCAATGGCTGCATACCAGGTACCAAATATGTTAATTTGCTCAAGCAATTAAACCACATCTGGTACAGCAGCTGCAATTTGAGTTACCACTTGTTTAAGCTTATGATAATCCACTGTCATTCTCCAAGATCCTTCTGTCTTCTGCACAGGCCAAATAGGAGAGTTGAACTGTGTTATGGTGTGAATCACCACCCCTGTGTCTTTCAAGACAAGTGGCACTAATCTCTGCAATCCCTCGAGGGATATGATATTGTTTTGATTTACTATTTTTCCAGGTAGAGGCAGCTATAATGGCTTCCATTTTGCCTTTCCCACCATAATAGCCCTCATCCTATCAGTCAGGGAGCCAATGTGTGGGTTCTGCAAGCTGCTAAGTATACTTACGCCAATTATGCATTCTGACACTAAGGAAATGACCATAGGATGAATCCAGGGACCCTCTGTAAGTCAGACCTGAGCTAAAACTCCGTTAATTACCTGACCTCCATATGTCCATACTTAAACTGGAAGACCACAGTGATGTTTTGGTTGCCCTGGAATCAGTGTCAGCTCAGAGCCAGTGTCCAGTAGTCACTGAAATGTCTGATCACTTCCCCTTCTCCAAAGCACAGTTACCCTGGTAAAAGGCTGGATGTCTCCTTGGGGAAGGATGGGGGAAAGATTCACTGCAAAAATTGTCTGGAGTGTGGTGGGATCCTTCTTAAGGGAAACTTGGCCTCTCCTTCATTCAAGGGGTACTGGGTCTGTAAACTAGCTCCAGTCTGGAAATTGATTGAGGGGCCATGACTCTCTGTTTTTATAATTCAGATTAGTCTTTTGTCCATTCAACCTAGAAGTTTTCTTCTTATATAAATTAAGTAGGAATGCAGTAGGCTTCTTGTCAGTTTCACTTCTACGAACACCATGATTAAGTAGCCAATGCCAGAGCTCTACATGGGTCAAACTATTCTGATAGCTGCTTTGCTTCTGCTGTATATTACCGTAGCTATGCCCATCTTGCCTTTGATGGTTGAGTGCTGCCACTTGGCCCCCCCCACCTCGGGATCGAATTATTCCCATTTTATTTAAATTTTGTAGTTGAGTGATGGTGGTTTCCAATGTTAGCTCTGACATAAGAGAAGAGCAATTACAGGGTGCTTCAAAGATGCAGGTGCTGCTCTCACAAATGTATTTTGCAAGTCATTGCTCAAGGATATATCTTCTGGACCCTCCCAGCTGGGATAAGTAGGTCTAAATTGACTAATCCACTCCATCATCCCAGTCTCCCTAAGCCTTTGGATCCCTTCCTCTGTATTAAACCAAGGGAGATCAGGCATTTCCAGCTTGCTCACAGTAGGCCATCTTTATATTTCAGCTAACCAAGCAAATGAACTATTAGAACCTTTTTTAACTCCCTGAGCTGCAACATTAAATGCAGAGTCACTACTCAGCCGGCCCAAATCAATAAACTCAGCCTGATCCAGCTCTATGTTTCTTCCATCACTATCCCATACCCTCAATATCCATTCCCATGCCTGTTCTTCAGATTGCTATTTATACAGATAACTCAAACAGTTCTTTCTGAGTGTAGCACACCTCCTCATGGGTCACACTCTCAACCTCACTTCTAGGGGCCCACCAGGACTTTAGTCTAGTTATAGGTCTAAAAGCAAACAGAGGTGTTGTGGGTGGTTTCTGAGGAGAATCAACATTATCTTGCCTAGCAACTCCATCAGGAGAGACCATCACTGTTGCCTCAGGAGTGCAGGGTTTATCTCTTCAGACAAAGGTGAAAAATGCTGATGGCAGCATGGGTCAGGGAGGAGATGTTGCCACTACTGGGGATGGGGAAGCTGTTCTGTTCCTTCTGGCAAAAAAGTTTCAACAGAGTTTACAAACTCAGTGTCCCCAGTTTCATCATGTTCCTCCCACATGTCCCCATTCCAAGTTTCAAGGTCGCCTTCTTTTCCAATCAATGCCCTCACTTTAACAGTAGACACCTGGCAAAGTTGTGCCTGAATCTTTCGTTGCAGGTCAGCTACTCACACGATAAGAGCTTGTGTCTGTTTATTCACAATTTCAGCTCTTTCTCTACAGGGGATAAGACTCTCATTCAGGACAATCTTAGCAGATTTGGGGCTCAGTATCTGCTTCTGAAGCCAGGAGATAGAATCCGTGAGTTCACCATTTTCTTTCATCACTTTGTCCACTGTAGTAGCAACCAACCACCTTCATTATGTTCCTTGGTTCTCCACATATGGTCAAAGATATTAATGTATAAAGTCACTAAACTCCTTGCCTCTCACAAGCAGTGAATCAGGAGTGTCAAATGCATTTATTTTGCATAACTCTCTAAACAGTTTCTGCCAAGGACTATCAGTGTTTTGCATACTATTAGAGGTAGAGTCCTTAGCATTTTGGGGACTAATCATATTAAGCAGCCAACTCCAGAAACCTCAAAACCAGCAAAGAAAGTAGATCCTTAATATTCTGTTCCTCTAGAACCACTCCCAGTATCAAAAGAGTACCAAAATCTGTATTAGTCAGGGTTCTCTTAGAGGGACAGACTAATTGTGTGTGTGTGTGTGTGTGTGTGTGTGTGTGTGTGTGTGTGTGTGTATAAATGTATATAAATGGGAGTTTATTAACTATTAACTTACATGATCACAACATCCCACAATAGGCTATCTGCAAGCTGAGGAGCAAGGAGAGCCAGTTTGAGTCCCAAAACTGAAGAACTTGGATCCAATGTTCAAGAGCAGGAAGCATTCAGCACAGGAGAAAGATGTAGGCTGAGAGGCTAGGTTCATCTCATCTCTTTGCGTTTCCCTGCCTGCTTTATATTTGCTGCCAGCTGATTAGATTGTGCCCACTGGGTTAAAGGTGGATCTGCCTTCTCCAGTTAATTGACTCAAATGTTAATCTCTTTTGACGGCACCCACACAGACATACCCAAGATTAATACTTTGTATCCCTCAATCCAATCAAGTTGACACTCAATATTAACCATCACAGCTTCTTTTGTGGATACCAACTTGGTGAGTTGTTTCTATTTTAGGGCTATTATTGATAAGCTATGAACAAGGGTTATACAGGTCTTTTGTGGACATATATTTTCTCTATTTTGAATATATACTCATAGTATCACCATTTCAGAAGATAACATATGTTTAACTCTCTGAAATTACTGTCATTATCAAAAGTGGCTGTGCCATTTTAAACCAGCAATGTATAAAATTCAAGCTGTTTCACCTGCTGTCCAAAATTTGATACACTTATTTTTATTTACTGATTCTAATGGATGTGGGATAATATTTTATTGTAGTTTTAATTCATATTTCTCTTGTAAGTAGCACTGTTGACCATTGTTCCATGTACTTTATTATATATTTGATTATCTTCTTTAATGAATTCTATGTCCATGCCTTATAATATTTTTTCTTTTATATAAATGTTGATCTTATATTACTGAATTTAAGAATATATATATATATATACTCCGAATAGAGTCCTTTGTCAGATGTTTGTGTTGAAAATATTCTCCAGACTTTGGATTGCATATTTTTTTTCCTGTTTCTTTTCCTTTTTAGGTAAACATTTTCCATTTTTAGCATTCCAATGTATCAGTTTTTTATTTATGATTCATGCTTTCTGCATATGCACAAAGAAGTCTTTGCCTATTACAGATTGAAATACATTACCATATCTTTTTGTGTGACACATTTATTATTTTAGTTTTAAATTTAGGTCTCTGATTCATTTCAAATTAATGTTTGTGTATTTTGTGAGATAGTCATTATGTTTCTTTTGTTCACTCTTCTCATCTTCTCAACACAAATATCTACTTTTTCCAGCACAATTTAATGAAGATGTTTTTATTTCTTTATCAAATTTCCTTGCAGGCTTTCTTAAAACTTGTTCAATTACGTCTGTTACTCAATTCTCTGTTATGCTTTACTAAGACAATACCGTACTTTCATGATGATTGTAATTTTATCATAAAGTAACATTTTTCAAGTGGATTTTTTCAAGATTATTTTGATTTTATTGATCTCTACCTTTACAGATAAATTTTAAAATTAATTTTGTCAATTAATACACAAAAGTTTGCTAAAATTTTAATTGAGATTTCACTGAATTCATAGATCAATTTCAGAATTGATATATTAGTAACATTAAATCTTTTAATCCATAGATATGGTATAGTTCTACATTTATTTAAATCTTGGCTTATTCTATCGTGGTTGCTATAATGAAGTGCCGTAGACTGAGGGGCTTATGTACAACAGACATTTATTTTTCACAGCTCTGGAAGCTATAAGTCTGAGACCAGGAAGCCAGCATGGTCGCATTCTGGTGAGGTCCCTCTTCCAGGTTGCAGACTGCTGACTTCTTGCTGTGTCTTCACACAGCAGAAGTAGCAAAGGGCTCCATCCTCATGACCTGATTAAGCACCAAAGACCCAGCCTCCTAATATTATCACATTGGATGTCAAAATTTCAATATAAGAAATATGGGGAGCCAAAACCATTGTCTACAGCAAATCTGCGGTTTTTGTCATCAATAATTTATAGCTTGGACTGTAAAAAGTATTTAACTTTTAAATTAATTTTATACTTCCATACATAATGATTTTTGATACTATTTTAATTAGTAATTTTAAATTTCAGTTTTTAATTTTTACTTTTGAATTTGGCTTTATCTTGAAATATTCTAAATTTGTTTATTGTATGTTATACCACTCTTGTTAAGTTCCTTCATTTTTTCATGCATGCAATCTTCCCTTCTCAGAATTGAAGGAGTTTTACTTCTTTCTTTTTAATCACTATTCCTTTAATTTTCTTATCTTATTGGACTGACTAATGCACCAGTATAAAATTGAATAAAAGTGATGTGAATAGTATTCTCATCTTGTTTTGATCCAAGTGGAAGAAGCATTAAGTATTTTATTTTTAAGTATGATGTGATCTGTGGACTTTTCATAGATGTGCTTTATCAGGTTGAGGAAGTCTCCTTCTATTTATACTTTGCTAATATATTTAATAGTAAATGGATATTATACTTTGACAAATGCATCTCCTGACTCTGTTGAAATTATCAAATAAGATCTCAATATATCAATGTTATAAAAACAGTCATTTTTGAATGATACATTATTCTTATGTCCCTGGTAAAACCATCGTATGTTAATGTGTTTTTATTTTCCCATATTGATAGATTTGATTTGCTAATATTTTAATGACTTTTGCATCTGTTTTCACAAGAAATACTATTTCATAATTTTCATTTTTAGGACGGGTAATATCAGCGTCTGATTTTGCTATTAGGCTTGTATTTGTCTCATACGATGAATTGAGAAGCCCTTGCCCCTCTATTTTCTGAAAAAGCTTATTTAATGTTGATATTCTTTCTCTCTTAAGTATTTGACTACAGTCATTACTAAAGCATTCTAGAACTGATTATTTTGTGAAAAGTTCTTTATGAATTAAATTTGAAGTAGATATAGGAATATTTAGATTGTTCATTCTTATTGGAAGGATATTGGTTTTATGCATCTTTTAAGTCATTCTTGCATTCCATTTTGTTTTTCAAATTTATTGGTATTGAGTTCTAAAAATATCCACTAGTTATCATGTTAACATTTGTGAGACGTGTAGTGGAGACCCCTCTTCATTTCTGATATCGCTAATTTGTATTTTCTTCTGTTTTCTTCAGCATTCAATTAGCAGTTCATAAAATTTTAATATTTTTGAAAAAAACTTTTCACTTTATTGATTCTCTTATTTTCTTTCTGTCTTTTATTTAATTGATTTATATTGTATTTTTATTTTCTGTGTTCCTCTTATTGCCAGTTGACCTATTCTTTTTCTAGCTTTTTTTTTTTTCCATCATGTACTTAGGAGCTTTGCTCTAAGATGAATCCACATTTAGTACTATGGATTATTGATTAACCAACCCCTTTAACTTTATGAAATGCCCCTTCTTATATTCTTGAATAAAACTTTTTCTATTTAAGGATAGCAACAACAGCTTTCCTTAACAACAGGTTAGTGTTGGCATGATAAATACATGTTCATCATATTACTTTCAACCTCTTTGTATCTTTATATTTACAGTGTTTCATGTAAATGACATATGATTACATATTGCTTTTCTATCCAGACTGAAAATGTCTGCTTTTTAATGAGTGTTTAGTTTAGCTACATGTAATACAAATTATTGATATGCATGACTTCAAGTCTAATATATTGCTATTTAATTTTGACTTGTGTCATGTTTGTACATCTACTGTTCTCCCCCTTATTAATTTAGATGGATCCAAAAATTTTTATTTTATTTTATCTCCTCATGTCTTTGTATTTGTATTTCATGCACGTGTATTTGTGTATTTGTGCTTTGTGTTTCCTTTAAGTTAGGTAATATTGTTGTTTACCTTTGAATATTCTGTGTTTAAAATAGTGTGCTGTTCCACAAAAATTTAAGTGTTCTGTTATTATTTGCTTTCAGAGAAATACCTTCCAATTTCTTTTTTTTTTTTCCTTTGGAATATTTTTACTTCCACATGTGCTATAAAACCTCTTATTATGAACTGCCCCCAAACACACAATTTATATGCTGAAACGCTAGCCTAAATGTGACTGTATTTGCAAATGATAAGGCCATTAAAGAGATAATTAGGTTAAATGAAGCTATAAGAATTGGTCCTTAATTCAATGTGATTGTGTCCTTATAAGAAGGTGAAGAAACACCTAGAATGGTCACTTCCAGAGAAATGACCACGTGAGGGCACTCAGAAGACAACCATCTTGCAGGCCAAGGAGAAAATCCTCAGAAGTTAAATCTGCCAACATCTTGATCTTAGCCTTCTAATAAGCTACAAAATGTTATTCTTAAATAAAAATACCTCTTAGATGCAGCTGTCAGATAAATATTTGAGTATATCTTGACATTGCAGAACAAAATTGAGTACATTGTGACATTAAGACATCGATATGGGGAAAAGATTCCATTGCAGACTTTTACTTGTATCTCAGGTAAAAACATAATTATGTTTTAGCCTAACTTGCAATGTCGAATTTTTAAAATTTATTGCCATCTTTTAAACATGAGACAGCTGACTTTTTAATAAACCACTAGTGTCTGGAAAGGCAATGGATACTTTTTTCAATGAACGATGCTAATTTGCACCATATCTAAATTGATATTAGACAGATCAACAAGACAGAAAATTAACAAGGATATCCAGGACTTGAACTCAGCTCTGGACCAAGCGGACCTAACAGACATCTACAGAACTCTCCACCCCAAATCAACAGAATATACATTCTTCTCAGCACCACATCACATTATTCTAAAATTGACCACATAATTGGAATTAAAACACTCCTCAGCAAATGCAAAGGAACAAAAAGCATAGTTATAGAGTTTTTATAACATGACTTGTATTGACTAATTCGTATTTGAAAATATATATTTTTTCTCACTGAGCAGCCTTTTGGAAATAAGTAAATTGAGTTTCAGAAATACATCTCCAGTTATATTTTACTTTTGTAATTTGTATTAATTTTTTAAAATTCTCCAATAAGGAGAAAGTAAAACAAGACTTGAACCAATATCTAGTGAAATTGAGATTTTATTACTCTATTTTGATGTGCATACCTACTTATAAGCATTTTACTCTAAAATTTTTTCACTTCTTTTGTTAAAATGAATGCTATGGGAGTTACATAAAATATTTGTGTCTTTAGAGTCTCTGATCACAGTATTGTGTAAACCTGCTTCTTCCAGGGTGAATGTTTCCTCTTGCAATTCAAGTAAAATAAGACCTGGTGCCAGGGAAAAGGAAGAGTTTTTTGAGACCCTTGGCAATTTCCAATGAAGTTTTTGATGTTCTTTACCCAAAACTTGTGGGATGCAGCCCAAGCAAGGCTTAGAGAAATGTATACCTATAAGTGCCTATGAGAAGTATTTGCTTTCTGGATGATCCCTTTCCAGTTGGCTAGCCAGATCTGTAATGCAGTGATGGGTTCCAGATTGCTTAGTGGGACAACAGACAGATCATTTTTATTCTCATCTTCACTACTCTTTGCTTTAAAGATATTTTCCACGTGGCACTTCCCAGTCTGTGATTTCTTCCTAAGAAGGACTGGAATACAGGCTTCATAGACAAACACACTTCATTATTTTTTTATCTTCAACTTTAGCATCCACATTCTCTTTATCAAAAATTCTCCCGTAGTTTTAAAAAGTAAATCTCTATTATAATAGATTTCAGAAATTTCTAACTTGCAACATCAGAATAATGTCTGAAGTCATTAGTGATTGATAATTCATCTTCTTATAATTTTATACTGACATTTACCAATCATGTTATGTGAGTGACAAGCAGCTAGCACCCATCTTCTGAGCTTCCTCTAAAGGCCATTTATAAAATATTCACAACTCATTTTTTGATTATCACTTATAGGTTGGCTGTCAGATCCTGTTTTCCAAGCCCATTCTTTTTTGATTCTTTCAAAAGCATCTACTTCTTTCATTCTTGTTTGCCTCACGCTGGATATCATGGTCTCATTAATTTCTTCAGGGGCCGTGGAGCCCTGCCACAGCTTTCAATGGGCTTGGCATTGATCCAAGGCCAATTCACAGGATCCCTTAGACATGGAGCACTACTGTCCTGAAACCAGCCCCTTTGTTTTCAATTTAGAACATGTAGTGATATGTTTGCATTAAACACAGGAATTTTTAGAAGTTCTTTGTATTTAGTAAATAATATATTCTATTTTTATTTTTCTGTTTAAAAATATAAAACTTTCTTTAGCATTTGCTTTACTTTAGCATTTACTACAAGACTGTAGTATAATACAATTTTGTTAGAGATGATTTCAGATTTTTTCTGTCATATCTATATTTTGTATCTTTTTATATAGATCGATATAAAATTTTTATTCTTATTTTTGAAATATATTTACACAGAAAATATATTTCTAGTTTTACTTTTTCTTTAGGTTTCTAAAGACAATTTTATTTTCTTCTGGTTTCCATTGTTTCTGTGAGAATTCAGCAATTATTCTTACCATCAATCTATACCATATCTTAATTTTCTCTAGCTGGCTTCAAATTTTTCTATTTTTTAGTTTTCATTGGTTTGATTACGCTATACCTGGCTGTGTTTTTCTTTTTTTTTTTTTTTATCACACTTCAAGTACTCCAAATTTTTTTGAATTTATATCTATTTGCTTGTTCATTTTCAAATATTTGTAAACTTTTTGACCCTTATCTCTTCAAATATTTATTGTGACCCATTTTCTGTTTCTTTCCTCTCTTCCTGGGTCTCCAATACTTGTATATTTGAATGTTTTAATATAGTTCCATGAATTTAAAATAATCCATTTCCTTTATTTCCACTCTTGTGCTCCAGGTAAGATACTTAATAGTACAAGTTGACTAATTCTTCAAGTTAACTAGTTCAAGTTCACTAATTATTTCCACTGCTGTAACTATTTTGGCCATAGATATAGTTCACTGATTCTTCAGGTTTACTAATTCTTTCCACTGCTGTATCTATTCTGGCTGTAAGCCAATCTTAGTGATTCCTCATCTATTTTTCACTCTCCCTCTCTCTCAATTTATGTTCTCTTTATTGGGCTCCTCTCACAGTGTTTATTTTTATATTTTCTAAAATCCCCTAACAATTCATGTATGTTGCTCACCTTTCTACTCTTTTTGATATAGCGTATGTAATTTCATCTCTGATTATTTTTTGGGTTCCTGATAATTCTAACTTCTAGCTTGGTTCTATTGTTTATCCCTTCATGATGATGGGTCATGTATCCTTGTTTTTTAATGTGTCGTATATACTTTGTGTGTAAAGGTAGAGAAAACCTGAGGTAAATACAATTTATGCCCAGATATAGGTACATTGCTTCTGTTACTGTGGAGGTGTTGAGTCATTCTAATTTGTGGTTGAACGTGGTTTAGGCTTTGCAATTACTTCTGTCTCTCATCACATCCAGGACTAGAGTATGGGGCTGGTTTTCCTGCCCTCCACTATGGTCAGCCAACTACTACTGCCTTGTAGTAATGTTGGGTTTGGTAAATAGGCAAGTTGTGTTAGGTTTTCCTTCTTTATCCTCAAATATTGGCAAGTCATGCATCCTTGCTATTGCTATTTCTACTCTGTTTTCAATCCTATTTATATATTCAGTACACCATAGATTTGATAATCCTCTCGTGATCGACTGCAGCTGTCTTAGCTTAGTATGGGGTGTGGAATGCTGGAGGATTTCTTTCTGTGTTTTCCTGTCTGGCCTTCAGTTTTTAGCAGGCCTAGGAAGACTTTGCTAAAAAGGAGTTCTTTCTGAGCTTTTGCTCCTCTCTCAGCAGTAGGGCATTTCTGCTTCCTCAACGTAAGACTAACATTGAGAAGAAAGGTTTTCAGTTTCCCTGCTTCCAAGTCAGCCAGGTGCAGATCCTGTTTCTTTGAGCCAAGCCTTAGCCTCTCTCAGCACTCCTACTCTTTCATGGCAAACAACTTCTTCTTCCCATTCAGTTCAAGGTCCTGAGAACAAAGAGTGTTCCTACCACTGCCCCAGGGTGGCAGGTCTTTGCCTCATTTCAGTGCAATGTCAGAAATGAGTGTGATTTCCTTTCAGTCTTTAATAACAGACAACTGAATACCATAGATTCAAAGAATCTATAATGGGTATATTTTCTGTACTTTCCATAGCAGCAGAGAGCTTTCACCTTGGGTCAATGCAGAGTCTCGGGCAGGCAGGTTTTCTGTCTCTTTCCCAGTGGTAGCCAACCTTGGCCTTTCATTAGTTTGCACAGTTGAGGATACTGATCATTTTTGTCTCTCCCCCAGTGACGTATAAATTCTTTCTTATGGAAATGAAGCATCTGGAGCAGATGAGGTTCCATTTTCCCCTCCAGTAGCAGAGAACTTCTGCCTCTCATCGCATCCAGGACAAGAGTATGGGGCCAGTTTTCAGGCCCACCACTATGGGAAGCCAACTATTGCCTTGTAGTAATGTTGGTTTTGGTAAACAGGCAAGCTGTGTTAGATTTTCCTTCTTCACCCTCAAATACTGGCAAGTCATGCATCCTTACAGTTGATATTTCTATCCTGTTTTCAATCCTACTCATAAACACTTGATCTGGGAAAAGGGATAACAACCGGATAGAAATCTTCTCTTTTGTCTGGAGCTTTCAGAGATCCTAAACTCTCATGCTACTCCCACAATAGATCAGTAGCCCATTAAAATTTAGCCTGTTTTGCCCAAATTAATTTTATATTATCAAAATCTATTTCCCATTATTATGTCTTAGGTAAAATGCTTTATGAATTGCATCTCTTCTTGGAAATACTTGTCATCTGTTGGATTTTTTTTTTCACCATGTATTCTTATGATCTTACTCTTTTGTTGATAATTAGGCTTGTTCTTATTTTTTTAAGGTAGTAACAAAGTTTTCTTGTTACTTTATTTAATGCAAAAAAAAGAAATCTCACTTTAAATTTTTAAAATTTAATGAACGAAAGATATAAGGTGTTAATGTATAAAATTTTCCTGCTTTGCAACTTTACTAATGAATATTTTCTCTAGCCACATTTTTTCTCATTCTACCTCTCATAAGCATGAAAATTTGGATGTTTGACTTAGTTCCATGCTAAAAAGCTTAGAATTTGGTAAGTTAGGAACCCCTTTACTTAGTTATGTGACTTTTAATTAAGTTTATCAGCTTACGTATTTCCAAAAAGCTACAAAGTAGAGAGAAAGAACTGAATTATTTATAATAATTCTGATAAAGCATTTTTATACTGTACAAATAGTCATACAAGTATGCCTATATCTATTATATCTATTTATTGGGCATCTATGATACTTGTATGGGTAATTTAGTTATTAATATCAATGAAATGATGTGAAGAACCAGACAGCTAATTAAAAATACAATTATTAAAGTGTAGTTGTAAAAATGTAAAGTTTCTTCCATCACAGATGAGGTTGCATCTTGAAAACATGATGGAAATGGGTATACCATGAAAATATAAAGATTTTAATTTATAACTTTGACAAATTCGTGTAATATTTTGACTCATGTTTTGCTTGTTAAGAAAGTCTATGTTATGAGACCAACTTAAAACCATGTATAAAGGGTTCTATTCCTTTTCTTCCCCCTTATCTTCTAAGTGGGTTCTTCAAATGCATGAATTTGAAGAACCATGGAGTTTTTCAAGGTTGATAGTTGAAAATTGTACTTATGATACTTCTCATTTTCATGCAAAGGCCTTTCAAACTATGAAAATTTTTACGACTACTACTACTATTAGTGAAATAAATCAATCTACAAATGAGACAGTGTTTCATGTTACATATGCATCAGGATAATCCAAATATCATCATAGTACACTTGAAAAACCGTGAAAGACAATATTCTCCCTAGATTCTTCACTTCTCCACCTTTAGTACCATCACCTCTTCACAAAAAGACACTTTTGGATACATGCATTTCTCTCCTGGAGTAGCCAGTTAATATGAATTTTTTTTCAAGTGAATTGGTGGATGAAGTGTCTGTTGAGTCACTAATATTTGTTATATGGCATCATGAGGCAATCTAGTTTATTAAGAGTATTTTTAAGATGTCATTAGTCATTTTTTAAGATCCTGCGTTTCTTTTTTTATTAAATTAAATGCCTAAAATGTATGGATCATTAAACTTTGCATTCAAACTAAAGGACAATAAATAGGTATTAAGAAAGAAAGAGTACTAAGACACTAAAGAAGAGAAAGTCCTTTTATTGACTTTTCAGAGGTAAAGCTTAACTAAATGAATTATAAACAGATGACTTTGAATATTGATAATACTTTTGCAAATCTCTAAAGTAGTCGTTCTATCTGTAATAATAAAAATGACAATCTTTTCAGCTAGAGGCTTATTTCAAATAATAGTAATCTGTAAATGCTTTTTCAAGGAAAACTAATAATTATATTTTTATTTCTTAGACATGCTGAAGTAACAGTAAGTTACTCATGGATTTTAATGTGACATGCATATTTTCAAGCCATGCTTAGCAATTCTAGACACCCCACTATATGCTTTATAGCTTCTCAGAGCTCCTCGACATATTTATCAGGTTATTTTTCATACCAAACTTTTTATTAAATTTATAACCTAAATCCAGAACAGTGCATATTCATAATCACACCAGTGATACACTTATATAAACACACCTGTGACTGGCACACACAAGAAGAAACAGAACACAACCTGATGTCACAAAGCCTCCCTCATATACTTTTGTTGTTGGTAATAACAATGGTGCCCCCACCACTCCCAATAAAAGAGTAATCACAATCCTCACATCTAAGATCATAGTCATTTTTGTCTGTTTTTACACTTGATGTTAAAAAGATCATCAATAGGTACTATTTATGTCTCGCTTAATTTGCTCAATATTTTGCATGTGGCATATATCTACAGTGTTGCATGTGGTTGTAGTTTCTTCATTCTCAATGATGCCCAGGGCTCAATTGCATAAAGATATCACAATTTATTAATTGGTGCTACTGTGGATGGACATTTGTCTTCTTTCCAGATTTTAGCTATTATTAGTTCATTGCTATGAATGGTCTTTTCTTGTATTTTGTTGAACATATATGGTAAGTATATACACAGAAGAAAAGCTACTTGGTTACAGGTGTAAGTAGGTTGGCTTTAATAGATACTACTATCTTTTTAAGGTGACTTTACCAGTTTGCATTTTCTGTAACAGTATATGAGAATTTCAGTTGCTCCATGTTCTCCACACACATGCAATTCTCTGTCACTTGCACTTACTCTTCTGGTGAGATCACATTTCTGTTTTAATTTGCATTTTCTACTTTATGACAAATGACATAAAGGCACCTTTTCATATATTTGGTGACCATTGGATATTTTATGAAGAGCTTATTTGAATCATTTGCAAATTTTTCTGTTGGCGATTTATCACTTTGTGAAAGTTCTTCATATATTCTGAACACCTCCCTCTCCCCGCCACCACCCATATATATCAAATTCTACCTCTGATATAGTCTCCATTTATATACTAACCATTTCTTCTTTTACCTTTCTTTTTTCTACTTCATCCATCACCTCACACCCGTTCGATTTTAGTTGTCTGTTAACTGATCCACGTGACTTTAGTCTGTCTCCCTTTCTCCAAATCATACCATACAAGACTAACAGATAAAGCTCTTAAAAAGGAGTATCGCTTCATGTGAGCAATCAACTTAAACTTCTTCAATAGTAAAGTCTTTATATGCAGAGAAAGCCGTACAAAATCTGACTGGGACTTAACTACTCCTTAATCATTTGGTATAGTTAGAACATGGCATCCAATTACATACAATATTTATGGTAGCAAAGAAAAATTGTATTTAAAGACTTGGTCTATAGTTACATTTTGTTAAATAAGTAAGCACCCTCATCTCTGTAAATGTTTACACTTATTTTTCCGTAATTACAACTTGTTAGTTTTACATTCTTACTTGCAAGGCTTTTGAAAGCTTGAATAGAGAGTGATTAAAGTATTATAATGTCTAATCTCAAAATATTGTATTCTTCATTCAATCATTGTCTGTGCTCTAATATATGTCTTATTACTTCAGAAATAATACATATTTGTACATTTTCCTGAAATTATTTGAGTTATCTTAGGGTAAAACATAGAATGGCAACAGGGAATTTATTTCAATATTTTTATGCAGAAAAATAATATTTTAAAATTCCCATGTGATTATACTACATTTTTGTCGGAGCCTTGAAGGTTTGTATTAAATATAAGTCATGATAAGACCTCAGAAGATTTAAGAAAATCTTGGAGTCATTTATGTCCAATTTCTCTTGAATTATCTACAGTGGAACATGTAATGGTTTCATCAAAAAAATTCAAATCTAAAGAAAAGATAGTTATTTTTTTGTCCAAGGAAAAGCTTTTTATACCAAATTTCAGCTAAGACTATTTTAAGATTTTTTTTTTCTCTAATGAAGTTTTTCATGTGAATCAGAGTCTATTTTAAGTCACTCGTTTTCATTGCAAAGAACACTATACACATCATATTTATTTTTATATCCCATTTTTGTTCATGTTATCTACTATTTTGGTTCCAAAAAGATTACCTAGAATAAAGTAGATGCTTAAAAAATATTGCTTTAAAGAGACTAGCATGTCCTCTCTGTATAGCTGTATATTATTCATCACAATACTCAACCTCTCAATTCCCTGGCCCTTGTCTGTAAAATGTCAATAAAGAAGTATATACTGCACTGGGTTATTAAGATTAAATAAAATATCAAACATAAAGCAATATAAAGTGCTGAACACATTATAAACTACTAATAAGTCTTAGCTTTCCTTATTTTCTTATTAAAATTTTTTTCAGTACGTTTTTTAAAAGAAGAATCTTGGCTGGGTGCAGTGGTTCACACCTGTAATCCTAGCAATTTGGGAGACTGAGGTGGCTGGATCACCTGAGGTGGGGAGTTTGAGACCAGCCTGGCAAACATGGTGAAACCCCATCTCTACTAAAAATAATAAAAATTAGGTGGGCGTGGGGGCAGGTGCCTGTAATCCCAACAACTCGGGAGGCTGAGGCAGGAGAATCACTTGAACCCAGGAGTCAGAGGTTGCAGTGAGCCAAAATTGCACCATTGCACTCCAGCCTGGACGACAAGAGCAAAACTTTGTCTCAAAAAAAAAAAAAAAAAAAAAGAAAAGAAAAAGAAAAAAAAGAAGTATCTTAAGTAGTATATGTTACTGATATGGTTCAGCTGTGTCCCCACCCAAATCTCACCTTGAATTGTAACTCCCACAATTCCCAAGTGTTGTGTGAGGAAACCGGTGGGAGGTGATTGAATTATGTGGGTGGGTCTTTCCTGGGCTGTTCTTGTGATAGTGAATGAATATCATGAGATCTGATTGGTTTATCAAGGTTTCCACTTTTGCTTCTTCCTCATTTTCTCTTGCCACCACCATGTAAGAAGTGCCTTTCACCTCCTGCCATGATTCTGAGGCCTCCTCAGCCATGTGGAACTGTAAGTCCAAATAAACCTGTTTTTCTTCCCAGTTTCAGGATGTCTTTATCAGCAGCATGAAAACAGACTAATACAGTTACTATATCAGTTTTGGCTATTTACTAAATCAATTCCACTATGAAAATATAAAGGCTTTGCTAACATAACATGACTGGGAACCTAATGCTGCCTGAGGCAGTTTCCATGGGAAGCTCCGAAAGTGTTTTGAATAATGGCAACAGTATTGTAATAAGTGTATGTAATAGTTTCCTAGAGATACCTTTAAAAATTACCAGAAACTGGGTGGTTTAACACAAAAAAATTATTCTTTTACAGTTCTGGAGGCTAAAAGCCAAAATTAAGGTAGGACTCTTTCCTTCTGGAGGCTCTGTAAGAGAATCTGTCCCATGTGTCTCTCCTAGCCTCTGATAGTCATCTATAATCATTGGCATTCTTTGGCTTGCAGCTGCGTCACTTGAACTCTGTCTCCCTCATCTCATGTCCTTCTTCCTGTGTGAGTCTGTGTCCAAATTACCATTTTTGAGGACAGTAGCCATTGGATATGGCCCACATAAATTCAGTATGACCTCATCTGAACTCAATTACATCTAAAAAATATTATTTCCAAATAAGGTTACGTTCATAGGATGTATTGATATCCAGAAAATTTCTGTTCAAATGCCCATGGGATTATACTACACTGCTGTGCTAGTGTTCCAAAGATGTGTACCCAATATAAGTCTTAATAAGACCCCAGAGGATTTAAGAAAATTTTGGAGTCATTTCTTTATGATTTCTTTTGCATTCTCTACTGTGGAACATGCAATGGTTTTGTTTCATTTTAAAAACTCAGCTCTAATAAAAGATAGATGTTTATTCAAATTTCAGGGGTAGGACTTAAATTTATAATTTTGAAGAGAAAATTTAATTCACAACAATGTGTAACATCCTTTTTTAGATATAGAACTCAGTTAACATTTCAAAGTTATGTTAGTTTCTTGAGAAGATATATCTTGAAATAACTTTATATTGTTATTTCTAACAAATTGATTTTTAAGCCAATGCAATAATAAATTGTCAGTGTGGAGGGGAAATGTGGGGTTGGAGCCCCCACACAGAGTCCACACTGGGGCACTGTGAGAAGAGGGCTACTGTCCTCCTGACCCCAGAATGGTAGATACACGAACAGTTTACACAATGTGCCTGTAAAAGCTGCAGGCCATCAACACCAGCCCTTGAGAGCAGCCGTGGGGGCTAAGCCCTGCAGAGCCACCGAGGCAGAGCTGCCTAAGGCCTTGGGAGCCCACTCCTTCCATCAGTGGGACCTGAATGTGAGAGATGGAGTCAAAGAAGATAATTTCAGAGCTTTAAGATTTAACAACTGCCCTGCTGGGTTTTGGACTTGCATGGGGCCTGTAGCACCTTACTTAGTGTATCTCTTCAGTGTAGTATACATATTTCAAATGAGCTTTATAAATGTTCGGAAAGCAATTATCAACTCATTTAGAGACTTCCAGTTAAAACACAATAAAAAAACATAGCAAAAATATGCACATACATTAAAACTTCATGGGAATAAGATGATTTGCTGTAAATTGAAGTAAATTTCCTTGGTTTAGTAGTGGGACCTGGTGTCTATATAAGAATATAATTTTAAGAATTCAGCTTTGAGGATACATATGTATGTAGAAACAGGCAGAAGTTAGCATTGGACTAAATGATTACAGTGAATGAGACAAGATATAAATTTTCATTCATTCAAGCTATGCTGGTCACTCTGATGGATATGAGAAAGAAAATAAAAATATAATTACATGTGTTGTAATTATCTACCAAATGTATTATAAAATAAGAAATACTTAGTTTATTGAAAAACACTTTAGGTTAAAAATCCATCTCTCTCTCTTTCTCCCTCTCTCTCTCACACAGACACACACACACACACACACACACACACACACACACATTTTATGTATATATTTTTATCTTACACCAAATACCAAAGGCTTTTATTTATAAGTCTACTATCTTGCTCCCAAGTCTCACCCACCTCACTGGACTCACTTTAATATCTTGAACTCCTAACATGTCTTTCACAGGTTTTTCTTTTCTTTTTCCTTTTTTTCGTATAATTCCTTAGTCATTTTATTTTCTATTACATATTTATAATTCTTTTCAATCTCAGAAAATTTTTCTCTAAATTTCTTAAAGTTCTATAATATCTGCAACTAGATGAAATTTCATATTTTTCTATTTTAGATTCATAATTTATTTTGCATAGTATAATTTAGTACTTTTTTATCTCATATTTGTAAATATTTGATTTTTTAACTTGAATTTAGGGTGACTTGTGTATTATTGCTTTGGTTCGAAAAATAACTCTTCCCATTTCCTCTTCAAATGTGCAGGTTTTTAAAATGCATTCATTAATTCATACTCTACTCATGTACAATGGATAGTTATGTACAATGGATACTCATGTAAAATGGATAGTTATTTCTAAATATTTTGCCAATAGTTAATAATAATATTTTACTCCATTAAAACCTAGAATATTTTTCCCCTCTGGAATTAAAAATAGTGTGACAATGCAAGCATAGAGTATTTTACAGTAGCTAACATATATTGTGTGCAGTTTCTATACACCTTTTGACCCGGTAGTCCCACTACTAAGTATATGCTTAAAGAAATTTAAATCATTCTACCATAAAGTCATATGTACACATACGTTCACTGCAGCAGTATTCACAAAAGCAAAAACATAGAATCAACCAAAATGCCCATCAACAGTTGACCGGATAAAGAAAATGTGATAGATATACACCATTATATACTATGCAGTTATGAAAAAGAATGAGATCATATCTGTTGCAGGAACATGGATGGAACTGTAGGCTATTATCCTTAGCAAACTAATGCAGGAACAGAAAAATAAATACTGCATGTTCTCACTTATAAGTGGGAGCTAAATAATGAAACCCCATGATCAGAAAGTAGGAAACAACAGACGCTCGGGCCTAGTTGCAGGAGGAGGTTGGGAGGAGCTACAGGTTCAGGAAAAAAACAACTTGATACTGTGTTTAGTACCTGAGGGATAAAATAATCTGTGCAGCAAAGCCCCAAGTCATGAGTTTATTTACATAAGAAACCTGCACATGTATCCCTGCACCTAAAGAAAAGTTAAAATATTTAAAAATAGCTTTATTATAGTATAGTTAACATAACAATAAACTTTACCAATTTTAGTTGCACATTATGACAAGTTTTGACGAATGTACACATTCATGTAACTAGCACCAAATTCATGGTGCAGAGTGTTTCCACCAAACTTCAAAGTCACAATGGCCACTTTGTGTCATTTTTCTCCCCAGTGCCTTCCCATGGCAACCACTGGTGTGATTTCTGTCTCCATTATTTTCCACTTCTAAAATTTGACATAAGAATTGTAATATGTCATATAGCCTTTGGTTCCTGGTCTTTTCCCTTTTCATGATGATTTTGAGGTGATTTTGAGAGTCATGATTTATTGCATCCATCATTACTTTATTTTTTATTGCTAAATAATCTTTGATTTTAAGGTTACAACACAATTGGTCTTATGCATTCTCCTATTGATGAAGATATGGATTGTATCATGTTTGGAAACAGAAAATATTATGAATCACTCTGTCAATAAGTCTTGGTGTAGACCCATGTTTTTATTTCTCTTGAGTAAATACCTAGGAGTGGAATTGGTGAATAACATAGTAAGTGGATTTTCAACTATGTAAGAAACTTCCAACTGGTTTTCAAAAATAGCTGCATCATGTCATATTCCCATTAGCAACAATGGGACTTCCAGCTATTCTATTTATTCTCCAAATCTTGGTACTGTCAGTCTTTTTAATGGTAATCATTAGGCAGAATTTGTAGTAATTTTTCATTATACTTTTGATTTTCATTTCCCTGATGAAAATTATGTTGGCTATCATTTCATGTGTTTCTTTGCAATGTGTATGTCTTCTTCAGTGGAATGCTTGTTTACAACTGTTGTACATTAAGTTTATCGGATTGTGGGCTTATTTTTGATCTGTACAAACAATATAGTCTGGATTAAATTACTTTATTAAAGTATAAGTTTTGCAAATATTTATTTCCATGTTAAACATTTTGTTTATAAAATGTTTGAATTGTTTTATGATATTTTTGATGTACAGCCATCTTTCTAAATTATTTTATGAATTGTGCTTGTATACCTTATCCAGTAAATTATTGCTTAACTAATGATCACAAATATTTTTTACTAACGCTTATTTCTAGAAGTTTACTTTTAGGTTTAATTTGATATTTCTATCTAAATATCAAATTAAACTTAAAAGCAAATTTAGGTATTTAATTTTATATTTAGATCTATCATCTGTCATGTAATGTACATTCTCTCTTTTTTCCCTTTCAATACTTTATTTTTTAGAAAACTTCTATATTCACAGCAAAATTGAACAAAAGGCATAGAGATTTCTATTGTAATGGATTTCCAGGTATATCAGGGACATTTGCTAAAGAGATTCTCTTTTCCCCCTTTGAAATGCTGTGTATTTTGTCCAAACCCAGTTGATCTCATATGTGTGCATCTACTTCTCTTCCCTCTGGCTCAATGAAACTATATTTGTTCTTATGCTCACAATAACCCATACTGTTTACTATGGCTTTATAATTGTTTTTAAAGGCAGTTCATTGAGGCCTTCAAACTATGTGCATCTTTTATAATTTTTTTTTACTATTCTGAGTTCTTTTACCATCTGTTTTGCTGTTATAAAATTCCATTTTCCAATTCTTTATGACTGGTATATAGAAATATGTTTCCCATTTAGCCTACAACCACACTAGGAAAAGACATGAACTGTAGTGCATTTTTGCATAGTTCTTCATTATTTATTGGTACACAATTTTGCAAAACAAAGATGTTAAAATGTCTCTGTTTTTAATTCTGTAGCTTTCTTGCACTATCTAGCATCTCATGTAAAATGATGAATAAAAATGAAAGAAAGTTGACATTTTTGCCCTTTTTCTGATATTGATATAGTCACTCTGGCTTCTTTTTAAGAAGTGTTTTCATGGTATGTCTTTTTTTTTTTTTAACATCCTTTAACTTTTAATTTATGTGTCTTGTATTTAATGTAAATTTTTCTAAAGTTAATATTTTTGGTCTTCCTCTATAATCCAATGTTATACTCTATGCATCTTAATTAGTGTGATTAGATCATTCCCATTTTCTTGTAATTTTGATAAGGTTTTAAATCTACCCATCTTGCTGTTTGTTTTCTCTTTTCTTATTTATTCTTTTTTATTTCATGCCTTCTATATTTAAAAAAGTATCTTTCCATTTTGTATTCTATTGTCTCATTATCTACGTACGTGTGTGTGTGTGTGTGTGTGTGTGTGTGTGTGTGTGTGTGTGTATCTGTATATATATATATTTTTTTTCTTGAGATGGAGTCTCCCTCTGTTGCCCAGGCTGGAGTGCAGTGGTGTGATCTAAGCTCACTGCAACCTCCGCCTCCCGGGTTCAAGCAATTCTCCTGCCTCAGCCTCCCAAGTAGCTGGAATTACAGGCATGCGCCACCATGCTAGGCTAATTTTTGTATTTTTAGTAGAGATGGGGTTTCATTATGTTGACCATGCTGGTCTCAAACTCCTGACCTCAGGAGATCCAAAAAGTGCTGGGATTACAGGAGTGAGCCACCACGCCTGGTCTATTATCTACATATTTTCATTCAACTCTTCTTTTAAGTGATTGTCCTGTAGTTTAAAATATACATCTTTGATTTATCACAGTCTACCTTCATATGCTATTATACTACTTCACTTATAATCGATGAGCAGCACAATAGTGCACTTTAATTTCCCCATTTGTATTATTGTTGTCAAATATTTTACTTGTACATAAATCTCAAAGGGTATTGTTGCTATTATTTTTCATAAAATCAAGTATCTTTTGAAAATAACTGAAACAAGGTTAAAAGTATTATTTTTATGCCTACACATACATTTATTTTTCTGATGCCTTTTTATTCATTTTCATCAGGTATCATTTCATTCCACCATCGGAAGTTACTTTTACTTTTTTTAGGCAGGTTCATGAATGATAAATTTTTATTTTGTTTCCTGAAAAACTCTTTATTTCTCTTTATTTTAGAAATACATTTTCTCAGTATTTAAAACCCTTGGTTCACTTTATTTTTCTTAAAGCATACTAATTTATTATTTCATTTTTTCTGGCATGTATGGATTTGTGATGATAAACTTATTGTTTAACCTAATTTTCTTCTTCTATTAGTCTTCTGTATTTTGCTCTAGGTGTTCTTAAGATTGTATCTTTGCCACTAGATGTTTGTAGTTTGATTACAATGTGCCTTTTTGTGGGTTTATATTTATTGTTATTGTGGTTGATTTAATTTCTTGCACCTATGGGTATATGGGTTTATTCAAATTTTGAAATCTTTTAGCCATTACTACAACTATTTAATTATAAGAATTTTAGCATATATTTAGGTCACTTATTATTGTCCTCTAATTCATTGATGGTGTATTTATTCTTTCTCTATTTCCTCCCTCTCTGCCTGCCTTTGAATAGTGTATATTGCTATGCTTTCATGTTCAATGGCATTTCATTCTGCTGTGTCTCATTTGTTGATAATCTCAGACAGTATTTTTTTTTATTTCTCATGTTGTAATTTTCATCTCTGGTGGTTGCAGTTAGGTCACTTTTATATCTTCTATTTCTGTTCTCACTATGGACATATTTTCTTCTATAACGTTAAGCATATTGAATATGTTTATAATAGCCATTTAAATGCCCTTATCTTCTAATTCCAGTAACTGTCATTTCTGTATCTCTTACTTTTTTTAATTGAATGCCAGTTGTCAATTAAGTTCTTGGATTCTGAATTATATCTTTAAAGAAAGCTGAACTTTTTTCTTGGTATAAATTTGCTTAGAAACCATTTAATCAATTTAAGGTTTGTTACCCCTATGAAAATGACTCTAGACTATCTCTTGCCTAACACTAATGTAATCCCATTAATATGGTGATACACTTCTGAGGATTCTCTCAGATGGCCTGGACGTTATGAGGTCTTTCTAATCTGGCTGCTGAGAACACACACAACTCCTAGTTCTCTGTCAAGTCCAAAAACCTCAGTTTACTGTTTTCCTGCACCTCTTAGCAATTCCTTCTGTGAATGCACAGATCAGCATTCAAAGATTCAAGGAAATCTGAAAAGCTTTTTCTCTATACAGCTCCCTTTTATCTTATATTATGCCCTGAAAATTCTAGCCATTTCAACATCCTCAAAATCTGATCTTTGTATCTTTAAATCAGCAAAGATGCTGAGTCTCTTTGATTTTCATCTTCCTTCCTTGAGTCCTGGAAAATGCCTTTGGAGAATAAGCAAGATCATCGGATTCCACTTGTTTTATTTACCTCAATTGTCACATCACTTTGCTGCTCTTATGTCTGATAGCATCTCTTACGTTGGTGTCAAAATCCCAGTTGTATGTGATAGTTGTGGAGGGGGGCTGTGGTTACTGTTTCTACAAGTGGGAGTTTGTACGACTTGTTTACATGCATTAACCCATGTAATTCTCACAGACTTCCAATAACGAAGTTGTGGCAGATCATCCTATTTTTAACTTGACTAAACTGTGAATTAACTTCTCCAGATTCTACCTCCCTGTATATTTCTGGGTTGGAAAAAAAACAAACAAACAAAGAACAGAACCTTTCACAAGATGTGGGATGGAGAAGTGTGGAATTGGCCACCACTCTTTGAAGGTTGCTGTGGTTAGAGGTGATGACAGACACAGAGACACTCAGAAATTTCCAGCTTGTCCTCCTGCTCCCCCATACATCGTCCAGGTCTCCTTTTTTTTTTTTTTGAGAGGGAGTTTCGCTCTTGTTACCCAGGCTGGAGTGCAATGGGGTGATCTCGGCTCACCACAACCTCCACCTCGCTGGTTCAAGCGATTCTCTTGCCTCTGCCTCCCGTGTAGCTGGGATTATAGGCATGCACCACCACGCCCAGCTAAATTTTTGTATTTTTAGTAGAGACAGGGTTTCTCCATGTTGGTCAGGCTGGTCTCGAACTTCCAACCTTAGGTGATGCGCCTGCCTCGGCTTCCCAAAATGCTGAGATTACAGGCGTGAGCCCCCGTGCCAGTCATCCAGGTCTCCTTCTGAACTGTGGGCTTTTCTCTCTAACTATGTGTCATGGTTCGTTCACCACAGGTGATATAGACCCACAGAGGAAACATGTTCACATTCCCTCTGTTAGTGTCTTCCTCTTTGTATTTCCTCTTCAACTCCTTAATATGTGTTTGGCTTCTCACTTTGATAGAGTGGTGACTCAATTAAATCTCTCCTGTTCCCTGTCTTATATTCATGTCTCCCTCTCATTTCACAATTTTACAAGGTCTAATTCCCACAATAAATTATCTTTTCCACGATTCATTGCAGTTTTATATCCATCATTCAATCTTGGCTAATACTATGCATTTAATTTATCCCTAATTTTGAAATGAGTATAATAAGAAATGGAAATAATTAGTAAGTGCCTTAGTGTTAAAAAGCTAATTAATAGTTGATCTAGGATTTAAACCCAGGAAATTATTTTCCAAAATTCATGATTCTATGCATCTTTCCTTATTGTCTCTTTAAATCTCTGCACTTATCAGTGGCAATTAAATATCTACCATTTAGTTTTTTAATTTAAAAGTTTTAAAAATTTATAGTTGACACATGATTACTGTACATATTTGTGGGATACAGTGTGATGTTTCAATGCATATATACAATGTGTAATGATTAAATCAGGGTGATTATTATATTCATTGCCTTAAGCATTTGTCATTTCTTTGTGGTGATAACATTCAAAATCCTCTCTTCTGACTATCTTGAAATGAACATTTTAGGCTGGGCATGGTGGCTCATGCCTGTAATCCCAGCATTTTGGGAGGCTGAGGCAGGTGGATCACTTGAGGTCAGGAGATTGAGACTAGCCTGGTCAATATGGTGAAACCCTGTCTCTACTGAAAATACAAAAATTAGCTGGGTATGGTGGGTGCGGTAGTCCCAGCTACTCGGGAGGCTGAGGCAGGAGAATCACTTGAACCTGGGAGGTGGAGGTTGCAGTGAGCCAAGACTGCACCACTGCACTCCCACCTGGGTGACAGGGCAAGACTCCATTTCAAAAAAAAATTAAAAAAAGAAATGAACATTTTATTAGTTATGGTGATCCTACTGTGTATTAAAACACCAGAACTTATTCTTCTTGTCTAACCATAACTTTTTAGTCCTTGTCCAACCACTCTTCATCCATCCTCCCTTGTACTGACCCAGCTTCTGGTAACCACTATTCTATTCTCATTTCTGTGAGATCAACTTTTTAAAATACATACATACACACACACACACACACACACACACACACACACACACACACACACACACCATATTTTCTGTACCCATTCATCTGTAGAAAGGCATTTAGTTTGATTCCATGGTTTGGCCATGTGAATAATGCTGCATAATCATTGGAGTGCAGATATCTCTCTGATATACTGGTTTCATTTCTTTTGGATATATACCTAGTACTAGGATTGCTGAATCAAATGGTAGTTCTATTTTTAATTTTTTGAGGAACCCTCTGTACTGTTTTCCATAATGACTCTATTAATTTAAGCTATGTGTCTGTAATCCCAGAACTTTGGGAGTCCAAGGCAGGTGGATCACCTGATATCAGAAGGTCAAGACCAGGCTGGCCAACATGGCGAAACCCCGTTCCTACTAAAAATACACAAAATTAACCTGCTGTGGTGGCACGTGCCTGTAGTCCAAGCAACTTGGGAGGCTGAGACAGGAGAATCTATTGAACCCAGGAGGTTGAGGTTGGAGTGAGCAAAGCTAGTGCCACTGCACTCCAGCCTGGGTTGACAGAGCAAGACTCCATCTCAAAAAATAAAAATAATAATAAATAAAAACTTAAAAAATAATTTAAACTATGTATCTGACAACTTCTTAATATCCAGAATATATAAGGAATTTAACTCAGTAGCAAAACACACAAATAATCTTATTAAAAATGGGCAAAAGACCTGAATAGACATTTCTCAAAAGAAGACATACAAATAGTCAACAGATGTATATTTTTAAAATGCTCAGTCAACATTGCTAAGTATCAGGCAAATGAAAATTAAAGCTGGGATGGGATATCACCTTACCCCAGTTAGAATGGCTATTATCAAAAAGTAAAAAAAAAAAGAAAAAAAGAAAAAAAAATGCTGTCAAGGATGCAGAGAGAGGGGAGGTCCTCTCATATACCAGGTTGTGGGAAAATAAACATATTTTATTTTCAAACAGAGAATTTTTATGACTGTGTAAGTGCTGAAAAATTTGGGGAATTGTATTTATTTGCTAGAACTGTTTGCTAAACCTTACGTTTATGTAATAACTGCAGAATATTAAACTTAAATTCAAGAATAGGGTTTTTTGGTCCTTTTTGTCAAGTATGATACATATAAAAATAATATTTTTGTGAATTAAAAATTCAAGAAATGGTATATCTGAACAAGCTGTCTGAATAGGAAATAGTTATAAGTATTGACTTAAGCATCCAATGTTTTCAATTTTAATTTAAATTTCTATGGCCTTAGATTTTCTTACATTTTTTCTCTCATAATTATTCTATAAGATTTTGTTTCTACCAAAATTTACTTGTAAAGAGCTGCATTCATTATGTATTGTTTATGGAAAAGTAAAGACACTAGTGAATAAATGTTGGTATCAAATAATATACAGTATTTTGTATACTTACATTCATCATTAATAAACTTCAAATGGATAATATATACTTACATTTAAATAGTAAAAATCTCTTTTATTAATATATAATTTTATACCTGAACACAAAATGATTTTAACAAAGAAGAATATATTTTAATATTTTATTTACTTATTCAAGACACATGCAATCCCTTTTATATTCCAGGCACTAAAATGTTATGAGTAAAGCTTTTCAGTAGTGGTGATTGTATTATTAAATGCCCTACTATACATTGTACTATATATAATTCTATTAATTGGGAAGTTAATAGTTGTAGATTATATTTACATAGCTTTGATTGAATTTGTGAATATTATTATATTGGATTAAAATATTTAGTCAATTTCCAGTCCTATAATCAGCACAGTGCCTAGTTCAAATGACAGAATATTGGTAAAACTATACTAGCACTCTTACTTTTGTTTGTTTAAAAACAAGCCCACATTTTAATGTTTATATGAATAGAATAAACTTTTGTTTTTATATGAAAAAGACTATATAGCTGTTTGATATCCGGACTTAATTTTCAGGTAGCAGTGATTTAGTTTTAAAAAGGGTATAAATAATACACTGAATACATATTACAGGGACATTTAATGAGATGTCAGAATACTTGGTTATTTGTCTTGGATTTACAAATCAATTTCTAAATAATTTTGAACTCTTCTCTCATTTATAAAATATTAAAGAAGAGAATGGAGTTATCTCCCCCAACTAGACAACCATATGAGCTCCAATCTAAGAACTTGACATTTTGAAATATATTCAATGTATTTCGCCTTCCTTGTTTGGTCATTTTTACTATAAAAAAAATTATACCAGTACAGTAGGTCATTAAGATGAATCTCATTGCTCCAAAGAATATAAATACTGTCATGATTAAAATGACATTACACAATTTAACCTTTGTTGTACAGCCTTTTAAGAAACTCACAAAAAAATAATAGCATTAGAGTAAAAGAGGTTTGACTACTAAGGTTAAAGAAAATTAATTTTGTTTTGAATTTAAGTTTTTTTAGGAGATCTCTGGCTCTAGGGAGGGTGAGAATATGTTATAAGAGTAATTTTTAAGATTTTTATTGCCTTAAACTTTCTTAGTATGTTATGGGTAGGAGGTGGGATATTTGAAGACACTAGAAGATACATAGAGAGTTTTAAGTGGAGCTTCATATAAGAATAATGTTTTATCTTTTTATTAATTCCAAAAGGGCTTTTGTGAGGAAAAAATCAAATACATTTAGATATATACATATATGTGGTGACTGTTCTAAATTGTTAAAATGGTTTATGACCAAGGTTTGGTTTGTCAAACCCATAATCCTGGGAAGAGAATAAAGACAATAAAAATTTCTGGTATGTATCTGCTATTTGATGGACCACTTAAACACTTATAGGAGGATTTGATTCAATTGTCATTTGCAATACATGTTTTCTGGATGTGTGAAAGTTTTCCTATGCAAGAAGGCTGATGTAATAATAGTAGCTAAAGTATTATTAGAAAATGTGTTTTCCTCATGAGATATTTATTGCAGCACAAGTCACAATTGCAAAGAGCTAAGCCATGAGTATGCAGGGTCATACAGGATGGTATAATGAAACTAGAGACTCAGAAGCGAGGAGGTTGGGAAAGGGATGAAGGAGGAAAAATTACCTATTAGGTACAATGTGTGTTATTCGGGTGATGGGTACACTAAAAATATAGACTTAACCACCGTACAATTCATCCATGTTAATCAAAACCCACTTTTACCCTAAAGCTGTTGACATTTGTAAAAAGTAAATACTTTTTTTAAGTAAATAGGATACAGGATAAGATATAGGTGAAGTTTCTCAAGAAAGTTTTATAATAGATATATTCAGGACCCCAGAGAAGGAGTCAGTAGGTAGACAGAGAGATATGAAGGGTTTATCAGTAGAGATTTACCTAGAATTCTTAGCAGTGTACTGGAGCTTAGAGCATGAGCCTTGCTCCCTGATGGATGAGATGTAATCCAAGAAGGCTCCCTCTGTTTTAGAAAAGTTTCATATTTCTCAATGTCCTGAAGAACCCAGGGCCTACCAGGTGGATTAGCAATGGCTGAGGTGGCACTTATAGGAATGGGCCTATAGATTTCTATTGCCTCATCATTTCCGGGAAAACAATGGCTATTTCTCTGGAGCCAGGAGAACATAGAAAAATCCAGATTTGGTCTTCTCATTTTCAAACAAGAGAGATCTGAAAACTCACAAACCCAAGGACAACATTGAGATTTTCTTCTAAATGGAATGTTTTCCTCTGTTTCCAGATGCCTTTCCACCTGAAAGGAAAAAGAAACGTGTGTTTGTTTGTGTATGTGTAGTTTTGCGTGTGTTTACTTTTTTAAGTTTCCTGGTTAGCTTTGAATACTGCATATTTTAAATATAGAATATTTCAAACTATTCTATAGCATTTTTATTTTTAAAAATTCTGTGTAAGAAAATATATCAAATGTGTTTTGGGCTACTTTCCAAGTTTTCCAAATTATTCTTTACCTCACTACTGATTTACACATTAATTTAATAATATTTTAAAAATCAATAAACAAAGCATTCTGTGTCCAAAAATATGTCTTTAATGTGATAAAAAATAAATGTGAAATAATATTTTATTGATATTAATTAAACTTCTTCTGGAGAAGCTAAACTCCATTAAATGATTTTAAACTGTTATTTTATACTCTAAAAATCTTTGTTTTATTGTGCTATGTTCTTAGAAAAACCTGGTGGTATGGACTTCCAGCTCAATAATTCACTGTAAAGGTATGTTTAATCAGCTGGTCAGCTCTTCAGTCATTTTTTAAAAATTTTTCAAAATCATGTATTTTCATTCTAAAACTACTGATGGTTCTTTTAAAATAACTGATTCATAGTTCATCATCACAATCTTCATCAGCATAACCACCATTAATGTCACTGTTACCATTGTTTTTGTTATTCCTCTGAAGTTCTTCCCAATCTTCTTAAGACTTTTTGTTTGCATTGTGAATACTAGTTCGCATGTTACTCATTCTTATTATTTTTAAGACAATAAATTAACTGATAATATTAATTATGCAGTTTTAATTATTTATCTATGGATAAATGCCCTTCATATCAAATTCTAGTAGTACCCAGGCTCTGAAACTATTTTGGTAGTATAAAAATAAAATCATATCTACTTTTTGTGTGTGACTCTTGGTAATTATATAAGTCCACTCAGGCTTCCATAACAGGATGCCAGACTGAGTGAGTTAACAGAAATTTGTTTTCTTACAATTCTGCATACTAGAAGTTCAAGGTCAAGGTGACAGCAGGATCAGTTTCCTGTGAAGACTCTCTTCCTGGCTTACAGATAGCTGCTTTCTCTCTGTGCCCTCCAGGCAGAAAGAGTGAGGAAGCTCTCTTCTGTCTCTTAGGAAGTCAATAATCCCATCATCAGGGTCCCACTATCATGACCTTATGTAAACCTAATTATCTCTCAAACACTCTATCTCTAAATGCCATAACATTTGGGACTAGGATATCTCCATATGAATTTGGGAGGATTCAATTTAGTCCAAAGCAGTAGAGTTTCTATTATTTTAGGTTCACATTTCATACACTTCCTTTTTATTTATTTACTTATTTTGCCTCAGAGAATCTTCCTTCTCTCTCTAGAAATATATCTGTATGAATGAATGAGGGTATTTCTCCACCTACTGAAGAGTAAAATGTTACAAGGAGAACACATTTTTTGTGTATTTTGCATTGTCACTTTGCAGCTTCTTCTTTACTCTTTCAATGGGAGGATGATATGTTGCCTTATATATATATATATAAATGCTAGATACATGATTTGGTTATTCTGTATAAAAACTGAATCGCTTCTATCCATACGCAGATATTTCTCCAATAGTAAAAATTTAACTGACTCAAAAAAAGTTTTAGCATCAAAGAGTCAATAATGTTAATTAAAAGCAGTTTATTTTAGTAATTTACAGGTATCTTCTCCAAGCTGTCTTTTTCTAAGAAAATAGTTAAAAGTATACTTCATTTGAAGAAAGGAATTACTTTCTTCTTTATAAATATCTTGACAATTACATAATTTATAAGTAGATATTGACTTTTCAAAATGAATATCAAAAATTATTGACTACAGTGTATATCTTTATCTAGGCATCTTGAGAAATAATTAACCCTGATACTCATAGAAAATTAAAATCAATAAATGCACGATTGTGTATTGCTAGGAACTCTAAGCATTAAAATGCAAGAAGCATTAATACTGCCATTTTATAAATTGCCTTGATGTTTCAAGGCTTTGCTTTGAGTCTTTGATTGTAAAGAGTAGCACCACTTAAAGTTATTTGGCCTATGTATGCATTATGCAATCTCTCATATTACAGTCATAATAAACAGTAGTAGGCAATGGGACAAACCAAAGCCCAATCTTCACTTAACTGAAAAGTATCATGATATGATTGGATTGTGTCCCCACCCAAATCTCATCTTGAATTGTAGCTCTCACAATTCCCATGTGTCATGGGATGGACCCAGCAGGAGGTAATTGAATCATGGGGGTGGGTCTTTCCTGTGCTGTTCTCATGATGGTGAATAATCCTCATGAGATCTGATGGTTTTAAAAAGGGGTGTTCTCTGCACAAACTCTCTCTCGCCTGCTGCCATGTAAGACATGTCTTGCTTCCCCTTCACCTTCCGCCATGTTTGTGAGGCCTCACCAGCCATGTGGAACTGTGAATTAATTAAACCTCTTTACTTTATAAATTACCCAGCCTTGGGTATGTCTTTATTAGCAGCGTGAAAATGAACTAATACAGTAAACTGGTACCAGTTGGGTGGGGTGCTGCTGTAAAGATACTGGAAAATGTGGAAGTGACTTTGGAACTGGGTAACAAGCAGAGGATGGAGCAGTTTGTAGGGCTCAGAAGAAGAAAGGAAAATGTGGGAAAGTTTGGAACTTCCTAAAGACTTGTTGACTGGCTTTGACCAAAATGCTGATAATGATATGGAAAATGAAATCCAGGCTGAGGTGGTCTCAGACGAAGATGAGGAACTTGTTGGGTACTGGAAAAAAAAGTGACTCTTGCTGTATTTTAGCAAACAGACTAGAGGCATTTTGCCCTTGCCCTAGAGATTTGTGGAACTGGAACTTTGAACTTGAGAGAGATGATGTAGGGTATTTGGCTGAATAAATTTTTAAACAGGAAAGCATTCAAGATGTGACTTAGGTTCTATTAACAGCATTGCGTTTTAAAAAAGGAAACAGAGCATAAATGTTTGGAAAATTGGCAGCCTGGTGATGCAATAGAAAAGAAGAGCCCGTTTTCTGAGGAGAAATTCAAGCCAGCTATAAGAATTTGCATAAGTAATGAGGAACCAAATGTTAATCACCAAGAAAATGGGGAAAATATCCCCAGGGCTTGTCAGAGATCTTTGCTGCAGCCCATCCCATCATAGGACCTGAGACCTAGAATACAAAAATTGTTTTGTGGGCGGGGCCCTGGGACCCCCTGCTGTGTGCAGCCTAGGAACTTGCCCTGCATCCCAGCCACTCTAGTCATGACTAAAAGGGGCCAACATTCAGCTTAGGCTGTTATTTCAGAGGGTGCAAGCCCCAAGCCTTGGCAGCTTCTATGTCGTGTTGAGTCTGCTGGTGCACAGTAGTCAAGAACTGGGGTTTGGGAACTTCCTCCTAGATTTCAGAGGATGTATGGAAACACCTGGATCTCCAGGCAGAAATTTGCTGCAGGGGCAGGGCCCTCATGGAGAGCTTCTATTAGGGCAGTGCAGGAGGGAAATATGGGATTGAAGCCCCCACAAAGGGTCCCCATTGGGGCACTGCCTAGTGGAGGTGTGACAAGAAAGCCATCATCCTCCAGAACCCAGAATAGTAGATCCACCAACAGCTTGCACCATGTACCTGAAAATGCTGCAGACACTCAATGCCAGCCCATGAAGGGAACCAGAAAGGAGGCTGTACCCTGCAAAGTCACAAAGGCAAAGCTACCCAAGACCATGGGAACCCACCTCTTGCATGAGCATGACCTGGATGTGAGACATGGAGTCAAAGGAGGTCAATTTGGAGCTTTAAGATTTGACTGCCCCGCTGGATTTTGGACTTGCATGGGGCCTATAGCCCCTTTGTTTTCATCAATTTCTCCTATTTGGAATGGCTGTATTTATCCAATGTCTGTAACCCCATTGTATCTAGGAAGTAACTAACTTGCTTTTGATTTCATGGGCTCATAGGTGGAAGGTACTTGCCCAGTCTCGAATGAGACTTTGGACTGTGAACTTTTGAGTTAATACTGAAATTAGTTAAGACTTTTGGGGACTGTTGGGAAGGCATGATTTGTTTTGAAATGTGAGGACATGAGATTTGGGAGGAACTGGGGTGGAATGATATGTTTTGGCTGTGTCCCCATCCAAATCTCATCTTGAATTGTAGCTCCCACAGTTCACATGTGTCATGGGAGGGATCTGGTGGGAGGTAATTTAATCGTGCAGCTGGGTCTTTCCCGTGCTGTTCTCATGATAGTGAATAAGTCTCACGAGATCTGATGGTTTTATAAGGGGAGTTCCCCTGCGCAAGCTCTCTTTTGCCTGCTGCCACATAAGATGTGTCTTACTTCCCTTTCACCTTCCACAATGATCTTGAGGCCTCCCCAGCCATTCAGAACTGTTGATCAATTAAACCTCTTTTCTTTATAAATTATCCAGTCTCAGGTATGTCTTTATTAGCAGCATGAGAGTGAACTAATACATATCATTTAATAACAAACAAATTACAATTGTCATGCACATTGTCTTAGTCCATTCAGGCTGCTCTAACAAGATACCATAAACTGGGTAGCTTATAAACAACAACAAAATATTTCTCACAATTCTGCAGCCTGGAAAGTCTAGATCATATGCTTCAGATGTGGCATTTGGTGAGGACACGCTTTCTGCTTCATAGTTCTTCCTGTGTCCTCACATAGTGAAAGAAAGCTACTTCCCACAATTCCCATGTGTTGTGGGGGGTACCTGGTGGGAGGTAATTGAATCATGGGGCTGGGTCTTTCCCGTGCTTTTCTTGTGATAGTGAATAAGTCTCATGAGATCTGATGCGGTATCTTTTATAAGAGTACTAATTCCAATCATGAGGGCTGTCTTACCAAAGGCCCCACGTCCAGCTACCATCACCTTAGGGGTTAGGATTCAACATAGAGATTTTGGAAGGACACAAACATTCATACTCAGAATATACCCCTAATTTTCATTTTATTTGAGGCTGTTTTTTTAAAATAATGGCCTTCTTATTATATTGGTAACACATTTTCATGAAATATTTTACTACTTTGTATAATGATGTGAGGTGACCTGGACTCTGATACTTGTCTTTCTTCTGTGACCTTGAACGTATAAACTCAACAATAACAAAAAATGATTAATTTATACCATCAAAAAACTGAAACTTATATTGCAGAAATACAAAGCAAAAGAAGAAACAGTCTTTGCATTCAAGGAGTTTACAATTCCCTTGGGGTAAACAAGAAAATAAGAAAAGCATAGAAGTTGTTATAACATAAGATAGACTGTGGCTCTGAAGAGATTTTTAAAAATTAGAGAACTAATATATGCCTTTGTAAAGATTTTTTAAAAATAAGAAACTAAAAGGAATGAATATTATAATAATGACGTAGTATTTGATGTGGACCTTGAAATTTGATTGAGGAAAAAGTCAAAGGATGAAAAAAGAGAGTGGAATTGGACAGCTCTGTAGTCGGCATAAAATATATGGGAAAATGTGGAAAAGTAAGAAACATGTTCAGAAAAATAAATAATCTCTATTATTCAGTGAGCAAATGTAGAGGAATAATAGTATACAAAGGAAGAAAAGCAGTTTAGCATCATATTGTAAAATAATTTAATTGCTAGAGGTTAACTAATTAAGCCAATAATTTATTATAAACTAGAATTCCAGATACCATATCAAATACTAGTAACACATACTTCACATTACAAGAAACACCATCTTTGGGGAATATATAATCTAGAAAGAAGGTAGAAATGCATGATATAATCCCACAAATATAGCTAAAACTACAGTTAGATGATTCTCCGAAGGCACAGTGCTAGAGAACGTGTAATAGGAATTCTAACTTCATCAGTAGGATCAAAGAACTTCCTAAAGAAAAAAGATTTGAGATGGATAGAAGTGAGAGTAGGACACAAGAATATTAGAATTAGGTGAAAGTGTTGTCCTGTTGCACGGGAGACAGGGAAAATAAGCCAGTCTCAGATATTATAGGAGCTTTTAACTTTGTTTTTTATTCTAAATATAATGAGGTATTACTTAAATGAATAATAGGAGAAAATGTATTATTATCAGAGGTTCATTTTAATTATAAAGCACTCACTCTCCAGTAAAGAGTTGGTTTGGACAAGAGAATTGGAGGTCAGCAAATTAAAATGCTTTACCACTAGACTAGTTGAGAACTAATGGTTGCTTCAAATAAGTGCTTTGGAGATAGATAGCTATGTAGTAATTTAAGAAGTACTTAAAATTAAAAATTGAAAGTACATATTGGATAACTAGAAATTAGAGAGACAGAGTATTCCAGGGTTCCTTTGTTCCCTAGTTGTGATATTTGGGGGCATGATGGTTCTTTTCATTGTGATAGGGAATCTGGACAAGACCAGAAAATAAAATCCTTTAAGGCAAGAGGACCATAAACTCAGCTTAATGTACCTCTGATGTTCCTTTGAAATAGACATTCAAGAAATATGTGGATTTTCAAAGTTAAAACAGTAAGCCTGGACTGAATATATAGAAAGGTATGCACAATCTGTTCACCAATAGTCATGGGAGTTGGAGCAGTCAATGAGCTTTGCTAGGAAGCAATACAAAAGAAAAGGGATCACCAAAATTTTGACTACGTAGTATAGATAAGGTCAAGAGGAATTCAAGAAAGAATAAATCGGAAAGTTAAGAGAAAGCCAAGAGTGTGATGTCACACAAACGTTTCAAGGAAGAGTCAACAAGGTCAATAAATGCTGAGACGTCAAGTAAGAGGATATTGACCACTGGCTTTTGAGATGGAGAAATCAATGAAGATCTTAGAAGTGCTATTTAAGAGAAGTGATAGGATACAAAACAGATTGTCCGGGGTTAAGGAGAGAGAGATAGGTGAGGAAATGAAGCCAGCATTTTTAGGAAACTATTCTGAGATGTGGTTTGAATAGGTAGGAGACAGGACTACAATTGCAGAAACATGTAATTGCAATGGAGGATTTTTAAAATTAGAATTTTGAATATATTCAATGGAAAAATACAGTTAAAAAGAAGTGAGATTATTTTCAGATGGTGACATAACATAAGCTATTTTTTGACAAAAAAAAGACAAACTAGAAAATTTCATTTTGTAAATTAATACAGCAGTAGAAAAATGTGACGGGCTAAACCGTTAGTGAAAAAATCAAGAACAAATGCACAGGCTGATGCAATCATGTATATGTGATAATTTTGGAATGCATGTGCATTGATGGCAGAGAGTGGAAACAGGAAAATAAGGAAACTGGTGTGATAATTTTTGGAAAAAAAGAGAGAATATATTGCAACTAGTAAATAATTTTACCTAAAAAATGGAGAGGCTTATGGTAAAGCAAAAGGTAATTACTTAATAGAGGAAATTTACATTATTTGAATGACAGTTAGTTACACTAAAAGTCCAGACTTCACCCCTACTCAATATATCCATGTAAAAAATGGCATTTGTGCCCCTTTTATTTATACAGAAAAGTACATAATCTTTAGTGTCTGAATGTAGATGAAGAAACAATCTACTGAGAGAATAGGTTATTTTTTTTCTTCACAGATTTGGTCAGTAACTGCAGTTAGGATTTCATCCTCACCCTCACTTCAACAAACCCGTTCTTATGAAGCTCATCAATAATCTCCACATTATTGAATCCAATGATCAGGTCCTCAACTCCACTTTGCTTGACCTGTTAGCAGAGTTTGGTACAAGTGATCAGTCCCCTCTTGAAATCGTTTCTCTGTCTGTCTTTAGAAAGACACACACTCCTGATTTTGTCCAATATATTAAAAGCCTTTACTGATTTCTTGACAAAAAGATGGTGAAGTCCAAGGCTCATTTCTTGATCATCTAAATTTTGCTGATTTCCTGTGTAATATTTGCTGTTAAAATGATTGATGTAATTTCTATAGGCTAGCAAGCCCTACATTTTTATCTCAATTCTGAACTCCTAAAATAGATCTTTAACATGATTTAACTTCTCTACTTGGGTATCAAATAGGATTCTTGGAATTAACATGACCCATACCTATTGTTTCATTGGAGTCATCTAATAAGAACCTGCTAATCTTACTTTCTCCCTTAAGCTAATGAGTTATCCACCCTTCTTGTTCTTCAAGCCATGATCTGGAAATCCTTAGTTGCTCTTCCTTTTTCTATTACACATCACATCTATTTCATCAGCCTGTGTTCTTGTCTCTTCAGAATATATTGTATATTTGATCAATTCTCACTGTTGCTACACTACAAAATCCCCTTCTTATTTCTCCTACACTTGATCTTCTTCAGACAGGAAGGTCTTCATGCTTTTCTTGGTATATACTGAACATGCTCTGACCTTAGAACCTTTGCACCTGCCAATCTCTGTGCCTGGAATACTCTTCTCTGTTATATCTGTGTACCTTGATCTCTCTTCTTTAACTCTATACACAAATATCATATTTGAAGCAAAACTCTAACTAAATATTATTATAAAATGATTTATGCACCACTCCCACATCTCCTGTAACTCTATCGTGCTTTTTAATTTTCCCCATGGTTGTGCACAATGCAATATGTGGTATATTAATATTTTTACTAGCTTATTATCTGTAATCTTTGGCTAGAACATTACTGTCCATTGTGACTTTCTGCATGATGAAAAGTTTGCAGAAAATATATCCCAGCCTCCCCACGAGACACTTAAGGATAAGTATAACTTAAAAAGTTCACTCAGGTAGCCTATGGTAGTACCAAGATTGGCACCATAGCCTCTATCTGTCTGGTGTACTCTCTCTCTCTCTCTGAGTGTCTCTCTGCATACCAAATGACAAATCAAAGCTTTCTAATCAGGCATTCAAGGCTGTGCATTAACCCTTCCCTAAATATATTGATGATTTAGACTCCCCGGCATAAAATTCTTAGGCTAGTTCGAATGTTTTCTACCTGGGTCTCAATGCTTCGTGGTTTACTAATTACATTTTGCTGCTAGCCATATCAATTAACTTGCAAAAGGCAAAGTCCTAGATGCATATTTTTTAATTGTGGGTATATGAAAATTACTTTATTGTACCTTCATATTCGATTTGTGACTTGGTAGATGCAGACGTGTACTTTAAAATGTTTAATTTGCCTTTGAAAATACTCACGTAATACTTAATGTTAAAGATGCCGATTTTTAGATTTTTACTTCCCCTGCTTTATTGCTTTTTTTTTTTTTTTTTTTTTTTTTTTTTGAGACGGAGTCTTGCTCTGTCTCCCAGGCTGGAGTGCAGTGGCGCAATCTCAGCTCACTGCAAGCTCCGCCTCTCGGGTTCACGCCATTCTCCTGCCTCAGCTTTCCGAGTAGCTGGGACTATAGGCGCCCGCCACCACGCCAAGCTAATTTTTTTGTATTTTTAGTAGAGACGGGGTTTCACTGTGTTAGCCAGGATGGTCTTGATCTCCTGACCTCATGATCTGCCCGCCTCGGCCTCCCAAAGTGCTGGGATTACAGGCGTGAGCCCCTGCGCCCGGCCGCTTTATTGCTTTCTGATTGGCTTTATTTTCAACTGTCTGTTTTTTTAAGCTTTCACAATCTTATTTAAACTTAAAAGAGCTTATTACTTAAATGTTGTTGCTCATAGGTATATTTCTGAAATATACTCAATTTCTCCTTGAAGGATGCTTCCTTCATTAGCTAATAAACCATCATGTTTCTATAGTTAATTTAAACTAATTTCTTGGGCAATTTGTCTAACGACACTGCCATTTTTTTCTTTTCTTTTTTTTTCTTTTTTTTTTTTTTTGAGACAATCTCACTCTGTCACCCAGACTAGAGTGCAGTGGCGTGATCTCGGCTCACCGCAAACTCCGATTCCCGGGTTCAAGCGATTCTCCTGCCTCAGCCTCCTCGGTAGCTGGGATTGCAGGCGTGTGCCACCACACCCGGCTAATTTTTGTATTTTTAATAGACATGGGGTTTCACCATGTTGGTCAAGCTGGCCTCGAACTCCTGACCTCGTGATCCGCCCACCTCGGCCTCCCAAAGTGCTGGGATTACAGGCGTAATCCACCGTGCCTGGCTGACACTATCACTTTTGCTAACTAACTTTTAAAAATTAATCAGTCAATTATAGGCAGGTAAAAAGAATCTGATACACATATATTTATATACATATGCAGCACACAAATATATCTATATCTCTATTTATAACCATATACATATACACAGCAAGAGTGAGAGAAAAAGGGAGAAAGGGATTTTAATTTTATATATACTTTTGGTTTTAGAATCTTTCAAACCATTTTGGAAGTCAAAAAAGTTTGAATAAAGGAATATGAGAGCCATAAATTTTGAATATCTATCTTTTCTCTTACTAGACTATATGCAATCTCTTTTATTGCTGTATTTTAGTATACTTGTTTGATTAGTCATTTTGTCGTAGTGCTTATGAATTGTGTTTATTGCAACTCTTCCTGTTATATCCGTTCCCTAATACAACTCTGTTTATGCAAATGAGACCTTTCTTTGCTATATCCCGTGGGTCTACCTTGAAATGTTCTCATCCTTTATATTATAATTGTCTCTCAATAATATCATTTTTTATGTTCCAGAGGGAAAGTCACCGACTCTGAAACTGTATTCTGGTTTGTGATTAATATTTTATTCCTTTGCCATATATCCATGAAAAAGAACTATGCAACTGTGGGAGAGTATATATATGTTATTTACTATAGCGCCCAAATTAAACATACACAGTCATAAAATATTTTGAAATTAGAAATAATATAATTATATGAGTTTTTGCTTTCTAGAGTCTCAGAACGTTTCTGGAATAGTAATTATTTTTATTACAAAAATCTATTTTATAGCTTTGCTTACAGGTTAAGCATATTTTGGAACTTGGCCATATTAGCAATTTTCCTTTCCTTTTCATCTTCAAAAAGTAGAATTAGTGAACTTTAATGATTTGCTAGCGTGCTACTGAAACATTTTGCTGTTTGCATTGCAAGAGATAAATTATATATTTGCAACAAGCTACTTAAATTGTATCATAAAATGCCTTGCTAAATCTTACATTTCTAAATGACTGTCCAGAAAATCTGCTCTGGTAATTTTCTATGTACCACTCGATTTCTTCTCTCTGCCCTGCAGTTGTGCCTGAAGTCTGTCATCAATGCACAGCATTATCCAAATCCCTTGCCTTCTGGCTTTCAGTGGAGAAAGGTAGTTCAGGTCCATGTTCTTCTTGCTCTCACCTGAGGAGTGAAGGTCTGGTAGCGGGAGAATTTCCCCAACTCCTTTCAGAAGCCCCCTCCCTCGGCTGCCTTTATTTTTCCAGCTGCATTAACAGCTCTTTCCCCATCCCTTTAGAATTGATATTGTAAGGGTTTCCTCTCCACAACTTCACCGTTACTAGTTCTGGCTAATTTACCATTTCTTGTTGGTTGCATTCAATTAACCTTTAAAGGTGTCAGAATCATGACTGTATAAAATCGCTGTCAATTTTCTCTATTCCAATAATGGCATAAAGGATAGGATTCACAATCTCTTCCCTTGAAGTAATTTCTAGGTTAAGTAGACTGACCAGAACCATGGAAGAATTGCTGAAGATCAAGTGATTTAACCTCCATAGACACTTAGATCAACTAACTTCAGCAGCAGAAAAGTAATACATAGTGATACATGATTAACATTGAGTGTAAAATATTGAGATTCTTGAAAAACATAACATTATTAAACTTATTTTTGAGAGCTCCAATTCCATTGTTCAAAATGAATCAATTATTTGTGTTAGAAGAGATAAGTCATTTCTAGTGATCTTGGCATGGCATGATAGATGTGTGAGTGTGTGTGTGTGAGCACATATATATTCATTTAATTAATTCTTAAATATACTATTCACTATTTTGCCAAGCAATATACCTAATATATAATGGTTTTAATTTGTATAAATTGAATATATATCTTATAGAGCATTAAAATTGGTAGTTTACCACTATATTCATTCTAAATCATTGTAGTTCAATTAGTGACATTTATTATGTCAAATATTATAAATTTTTAATGAATAAAATTTGCTGCACTGAAATGTATTTAATAATCTAATATAGTATCAACAAACTTAGAAGAAACATTTGAATTTGAGACTTGACTTCAATCATTTTAAAATAAATTATCTCATGACACTAGATATTTCAGTTTTCAAGGGTTTACTGTAATTTACTAATATCTTATCAAAAGTTAATTAGCATTAGCTAATACTAGTGAAAATAAACTTTCTGTCAACATACCTTCTGTCCTGTAAATTACAAGTTCCTGCTGGGCACAGTGGCTCAGGTCTGTAATCCCAGCAATTCAAGAGGCTGAGACTGGTAGATTGCTTGAAGCCAAGAGTTCGAGACTACCCTGAGCAATATAGCAAGACCCATTCTGAACAAAAACTTTTAAAAAATTAGCTGGGCGTGAAAGTATATGTCTGTGGTCCCAGCTACTAGGGAAGCTGAGGTGGGAAGATATCTTTAGTCCAGGATTTTGAGGTTATAGTGAGCTATGATTGTGCCACTGCACTCCAGCCTGGGTGACAAAGCAAAAGCCTGTCTCAAAAACAAAAAAGTTTCTGTTGTGCATAAAATACATTTAATATTTGTCATTCTTAAAATATTTTATTATATTGTGTCTTTAATATTCCAATTAACTAGATAATCCAAATAACATTTCTATTTATTTTTAAATATCGCATTTCAAAAAATAATTTATTAGTTATATGTTATATAAAGAGCTTCTATATTATAGATATGTAACCCTGTTACATACATATATTAAATTGTGTAAAGTATAGGATAATATAAGGCTAAAATTATAACACCATCTTGTTGTAACATGCATTGATGAAATACGTGATATAAATAGCTTAAAGAAATGGTGGTAATTGCAATATATGACTGCTAAGTAATTTTTACTAGGTGTAATTCTACATTAAATACAACTGTATTCTGATAATATAAAGATGCATGTTGCAATCAATACTAGATCAATAACTAAAAATTAATACAAATAATAATGCTAAATGTTAAATGTCAATGTAATCTAAATGGTATACTAAAATGTTGGCAAAATAAAAATAAGGCAGAGAAGGAGAAATGAAGAAATAAAAGTATGAGGTGAAACAAATATAAAACAGCAAAAATCAAGATTCTTCTGTATACCCTATCAGGATATGCACTTAAAATATAAAGACATGGATCCTCTAGCTTCCCTCTATGAGGTAGGAAGCTGGAAAGAGGCTCACACTCATCTTGCCACCCATAACATTTGGAAGTGATTTGCAAGATAATGGTTTTCCTTTAGACTATTAGAATTGAGTTTAAAGGGAAAAGATCAAGCCCAGAGTCCCAGGATACACCAAAAACTTTGTAAGAGAGGTGGGACACAAGAATATACCCATCTGTTACAGGGTACATGAGAGAGAAATGGCCATTTAAAAAATAATAATAATCTAAAGACAAAAACAGCGAATACTATTTCTCCCAGGGTAGCGATGAAGATTTGCTACTACAGAGATGGGGGGAGGTGGGGTGGGAATCCAACTATTTCCTAAAGGAAGGAAGAAAAATAATTTGAGCCCAGATCATTTAGAGATCTCTTATTATTTGAGGATAGGCAAAAATCACCAAGAAATTCCTCCTTTGAAACACAGAGCAAAGAGAAACTAAGAGAGGCTGACCAGCACAACAGAGAACATATGTAATTCCTATCATTACCAGATTAGCAAACCTTAAGTAATAAGAAATTGCATTATATGACAGAGGAAACACAAAAATTTAGAGAGAGACTCTAAGATACGGGAATACAGGGAAGGTATAAAGGTAATAGTAGAGCAAGAATATTGAGGAAACACCCACGGACAAACTAGTCCTCACTCTATGTACAAGGTAATGTTAGAAGAATTTGAGGGTAGTTTTGTACTGAAATTAATAATAGTGAGAAATAAAAATAAAATTCTAAGCCTCACAACTCACTGAACAGACTCCCTTTTGGGCAAAGGAACCCCAGAGAAACCTTGAAAACTGATTTCTCAGACATAACTGGATGGGAGGTAAAACATACCTCCTTATAACCCCTTCCACACTGATAGCCACTAGGCTTTCTAACAGAAACTAGCCCTTTCAAAAGACTTTACTGATAATATCAACCAACTGACTGGCAGCTGCCCCTGACTTTTAGGGTTTCAACAAAACAACTGATCAGCATTTCTTCTTGACAAGAGATCACTGACCACAGAGTAGTTCTGGCCAGTCTATGGAGATGCAGAGATGCAGAGATGGTTTTCATATCCCTGTTTCACCTTTTGATGTCACAGGGCAAAATCCACACCCTTGGATTATGCTAACACCATCATTTTTTTTTCACATGGGTCCCATGGGGGAGGCATGAAGCTCAATTGCATATGCACATGCTTCTCCTTTCAAATATTCGCGACTCCTCTTATAGCTGATTGAATATATGTTCCTGTCTTACTCCTCCCACCGTTGAATCATCTGTTTTTGGTTTCTGGCTGGAAGCTATGCTTCCCAGTCTGTTAGAAGGGCCATGTGGCAGGCTGCAGCCATTTATGAGAAATAAAACTCTTTTTTCTAAATTTATGAACCTTGTCATTCCTTAATTGACAATAGCAACAACAAGCTGAGGACCTAGATCAACTGCTGACTCAACTAACTGTGTCTCCCACAGTAACAGCATAGCAGAAGAAAAAGCATGCGTATTTCAAAGTACATATATTATTTACTACTGTTATTATCATCCTGTACACAATGTCCAGTATCTAACAAGAATTAAGAGAAACAATAAAAAACAATGTCAAAAGACAAAAATCAACATTACAAAGTTGGTTGGATGTTGGAAATATTAGACAGTAATTTAAAAATAAAAATAAAGTGAATAGTATGTTTAAAACTCAAGTGAAAAATTGACAGCAGGAATAAAAAAGGAGAATTTCAACAGAGAGATGGAAATTGAAAAAGAACTAAATATAGACAGTAGAAATCAAAAATACACTAAGAGAGGTGAATAATGTATTCAATGGGCTGAAGACAGCCAACAAGTGATTCAGTGTACCTGAAGACAGATTATTATAATTTACCCAAGTGAAATACAGGCAGGATAAGCAAATGAACAAGAAGAAAGCATCCAGGGATATGGCAAACTATCAAATGGCAAAACATACATGTAATTGGAAATCCAGAAGGGAAAGAGAAATATCTAATGGTGAGAATTTTCTGCAAATAATGAAATATGTCAAACCACAGATCCAAGCAGCTTAGAGAGCCATAAATATAATAAATACAAGGACCCTCTAAAATCAGAGATGAACACAATTTCTTGAAGGAAAAGAAAAATGTCATAATGAGAAAAAAAGATAAGCTCCAGTAAATTTTCTGTTTTTGCAAATCCGAAGCAATATATACGTCGGAAGACAATAGAGTGACATATTTAAAGCAATACAAGAAAAAAATGTCAGTCCTGTCAGTCCCATATTCTATACTCACTAAAAATACATATGATAAAGGACAAAAAAATACTCAGACAAGCAACAATTTTAATGAATTAATGATGAGTAAAAATGTGATACAAAAAGTATTTAGTCATTATTTAAGCTGGAGCAATATGCTATTGAACAAAATTTGAATCTATATAAATAATGAATGTCTCAAAATTGTTAGAATAATTATAAATGTTAAACAACTATCTTAGTCTTTTGTGGCTGCTATAATAAAATGCAATTATCTGGGTAGCTTATAAGCAACAGAAATTTAATTCACACAGTTCTGGAGCCTGGGTGGTCCAAGATTAAGATGCCAGCATTTTCTGGTTCTGATGAGAGTCACATTCCAAGTTGTAGACTGTGGTACTTCTTGCTGTTTCATCACAAGGTTGAAGGGGGCAGGGTATCTCTCAGGAGCCCCTTTTATAAAAACATTAATTCCATTTATGATGGCTTAGCCGTCATTACCTAATAGCTTTTCAAAGTACCCCTTTTGTAGCACTATTACTTTAGTGCTTAGGATTCAACATATGAATTTTGGAGGAACAGAATCATACAGACCATAGCAAATATCTTTATTTTTTTAATGTTAATCACTAAAAATAAATTACATCTAAGGTGAGGCTTTGCAAACCTTTTTATTAAAGGATGAGATAAATATGTTAGGTTTTAGTGTCCACATACGGAGAAATATATATGTGTATGTATGTGCCTCGTATATGCCTCACATATATTTATATTCATTTCTCCCCTTCTCGTTCCTCTTTCTCTTCTTCCTTTTCCGGGGTGGCTCCTTCTTTTTTCTATTCTTCTTCATCCTCTTTTTTCAATTCTTTAGATATGTAAAAAATGTACTTAGCACATTGAGCATACAAAGAAAATTAGATACTGTTGAATTTGTCCCATTGATGATAGATTGCATAGTTTATTTACACCTGTGTAAAGCAACAATCGTAATGCAGGATAGTTTTACAACATACGTAACAATGTGTGGCACAGATAGAATAAAAGATGTATAGCAGTAATTGAATATATAATTTCCTAAGATTCTGACAGTATGAGTGAAGTAGTATAATAAAAATGGAAGCTAGATTTATTAGCCAAAAATACATATATTGTAATCCCAAAAGTATATGCTAATAATTTTTTTAAATAAGTTAAAAGAATGCAGAGAAGATAAATCAGAAAAATTACTCAGTTGACCCAACTGAAGAAAGAAAACAAAAAAAAGTACAAGAAACAAAGTGAGAATAACAAAAAGAAAATAACTATCAAGATGGACTACTTAATCAAATCATATAAATAATGACATTAAATATAAATGACTTACAGGCAAATTTTTTTAAAGGAGCTTGTTACCTTGTCCTTTGCTGAAAGCTTTTAAGTATTGATTTCTTTCTTTAGTTAACAAAGGATTAGTCACGTTATATACTGTATATTGAATGAATTTTGGTCATTTATGTCTTTAACTTAAGGTATCCCTTTCAAATAGTTTCTATATTATACTTATGGGCATAAATGACATTCTTCGTGACATTCTATTTTTCTCTCCTTCAAGGTCTGTAGGATATGTAGTAATGTGTCCCTTTATTACACATCCTTTTGGGGGCAGCATGATAGAAATTTGTCATTTTTATTGATATTTTCAAAGAAGCAGCATTGGTTGCACTGATTTTTTTTCTTGTTCTCTTTAATTTTTTAAATTAATTTAGTCTCTTAACTTTATTGTTTCTATCATTTTCTTTGTTTGGGGCTTATTCTTTTTTTTTTTTACCTTTTCTATGGTGTTAACTTACATTTTTGAGACAGTTTTTTTTTTAATGCAAGCATTGAGTGATATTAAATTAGCTGGTTTAGCAACAAGATTATGTACACTGTGTTTTAATTGCCATTCAGTTCGTGATACATTCTAGTTTTCCATTTAACATTCTTTTTGATGACTGAGACTTATAAGTAAGTTGTCTGATTTTTATTTACTTGAGAAATTTTCATGAATTTTTCTGATATTAAGAACTAGTTACATGTATTAATGGTAAGAGAATATACTTTGACCACCTGATACAAAATCAGAAAGACAAATGAAAACTGAAGATCATTATTTCTCCTTATTTAAATATTAATTATTAAATATTATTAATATTAAAATTAATATTAATAAATTTAAATTAATAAATTAAATATTAAATACACTTATTAATTTAAATAAATTTAAATTAATAAAATTAACTATTAAAATTATTAAATGTTATTAAATATTAATGATAAATATTAAATATTAACTGTTTCACAAAATATCAAATGGAATCTGGCAAATGTAAAAATACTTTTGATTACGGCCAAGTTTTTATTTTTTAAATCTTAGGAAGCTATTATTTTTGGTTTTTATAATCAAAACACATGAAGTATTTCAGTATAAATCTTAAACATTTCTGCAAATATACATATTAAAGAGTAAAAAATATTGATGAAACAAATTAAGGTACACTTGAAATCAAGAGTTATACTGTGTTTATAATTCTAAAGATGTGAATTATTTCCAAATTTGACATAGATTCAATTTATTTTTATCAGATTTCTGTTCGGAGTTTTTGTTCAAATATGCCAGCTAATTCCAAAATGCGTATGCAAAAGGAGAGCAACTAGACTTGTTGAAACAATTTTGAAAAAGAACAAAGTTGGATTACACACTTCACCTAATTTTAAGCCTTATCATAAAGTGACAGTAGTCATAAGAGTGTGATGTTGGCAAAAGTTGTTTCAATATATGACTTGAACAGAATAGAGAATTCAGAAATAGCTCCAAACATATGTAGTCAAAAGAATTTTTACAAGGTGCAAAAGCAATTCATAAAATGAGGATAATTACTTTTAACAAATCATACTGAAACAAATAGTTATGCATATCTGCAAAAAAACCTTGACATATACCATTAATAATACATCAAAAATGTAAAGGAAAATGAATCAAAATAGATCTATCTGTTAAATGTTAAACTTTAAAATTCTAGGAAATAAACATAGAAAACCTGCACACGATGATGTATTGTGCCTTTAAAAATGAAAAACTTCTCTTCAAAATATAGGGCTAAAAATATAAAGTATAATTCACAGAAAATATAAATTTTAATCCACAGATAGGGAGATAATATTCAAAAATAAATAGATATAAAAGGATTTGTATCTATAATGTATCGAGAACTCTCAAACTCATTAACATTTTTAAAACACTATAAAAATGCCAAACATTTGAATAGGCACTTTGTCATATGCAAGATAATTAGACATTAGTGGAAATTAAAACCACAATGAGATAGCATTAAACACCTATTAGAGTTACTTTAAAAATATAGCATCGTGTGCTGGTGTATGTGGAGCAACTGAAAATCTCATATATTATTAATGGAAGTGAAAATGGTACAACTAGTTTGAAAAAAATACAGTTTAGCAGCTTCCTATATAAATAAAATCTTACCATATAATCCAATAATCCACATGACATATATACACACAGAAACAAAAAGCTTTGTTCAAAAAAACTTGCATATGATTGTTTGTGATGACTTTATTTATAAACACTCAAAACTGGAATCAATGAAAATTGCTTTAATGGGTGTTTGAATAAACAGACAGTATAGTATCTACAACAAAATAGTTCACTCTTCTGCAATAATATAGTATTTTGGAAAGAAAGAATTGATTCACACAACAGCATGGATGAATCTTATAAAATAAGAAGAGAGTAGATGTAAAGACTACATAATGTATGATCAATTAATATGATATTCTAGAAAAGGCAAATTTATCACTGCAGTAAATAGAATGTTCATTGGCAATCACTGGGCGAGATATATAAAATTGCCTAAAGGTTTGAGTTTGACGAAAGAACTATATAGCATGATTATGTTGGAGGCTTTATAAATGTATACATTTATCAAAATTTCTAGGATTGCAGATAAAACAATGAACTTTACTGTTTGTAAATAATACATCAATAAACCAAAAATAAATAGCTATACAAAATGATCTCAGGCAAGATATCAATGGGGGGGAAGATATATTATGAAAATAGTGAACAAAAACAAAAGTCAGAATGATTATATTAATATCAAATAAACTGCACTTTAAGCCAAAGTATTATTAATAAAAAATAAGTAGGGGTATATTATATTAAAAATGAAAAACACAGGGAAAATATGTGAAAGATTGTATAGCCTTAAAAGAGAGCTTGAAATATATGCAGAAAAACTTGACAGAATTGAATATAGAAATAGAAGTTTTTAATTTTTATTTGGAGAGCTTTATTCACTTCCATCAGGAAAAAATGAGAGAAGTTTGAAACAAAATCAGTAAAGATGTTTTATTAGCCATCCTACATGATTATGCCCAATGACCTCTGCCTCCTTGTATTTGAAACCTCTTTTAATCACTTTAACTATTTTACTAGAATTTGTCTGTCTGACAAGTAGCATATGTACAAATGATAGTATGTTACTTCAAACTGGAATCAACCCAAATGTTATTCAACTAGTGTATAATTATGAAAGACTGTAGTTTTGACATCTGTGTCTTTCCCTCTCCTCTTAAATCTTCCTCTGAGTGAAGCAAGCTGCCAAATGTTATTCAACTAGTGTATAATTATAAAAGACTGTAGTTTTGACATGTCTGTCTTTCTCTCTCTCCTCTTAAATCTCATGCTGTGGATGAAGCAAGTGGCTATACTGGATGCAACCTTACATAAAGTCACAAAAAGCAATGACAGTGACAATGTGTCAACAAGGATTTAAAAAGGAATAGAAAATTTGAATTAACCTAGATTAATTAAATAAATTGAGTTCATACTTAGATGTCCTTATATGATAAAATATCTGAGTCCAGAGGTCTTCACTGGTGAATTTTATCAAACATTAAGATAGAAATGATACCACATCCGTACAAACTATATAAGCCAGTAGAGAAAAGAGAAGTACTCGCTAAAGGAATTATTATTATAAAGGAATTATTATTTTAGTAGCAAGACTAGACAAATATATTACAGGAAATGAAGACTGCTATGTAATACCACTTATAAACATATGTAACAAATACCTGCCTTGCCCCATTTCAGTGCTCATGCACCCCTCCACATTGTCCCCCCACTGCCACCAGAGCATGTACACAGCATGAACCATGTTGCCCCTTCCCTGATTAAACACTTGTGTTAGAATGTCCACATTGGAGTGTTGTTGCCAACACACTTGGAACACCTCAGCCCCTCCAGCAAACCAGGTGCTTAACCTGAAATGGTCAGAGAACAAAGTTGTAGGCCCGGTACTAGCCCCCCAGGGATTGAGCATGCAGCTCGGGAGCGCTGAGCTGAAACTTGGCCTTCTGAAATCATCCAGAAATAAAGGGGGTTGACTGAACTGTCAACTCTTTTGACTCAGCTGTGTTACATTACAGTGAAACCCTCGAGGACATCAAAGAATAAAAATATTAAAACTCAATCGAAAGCCCAGAAATTTCAAGATTAAGGAAACATCAGCCCACACAGATGAGAAAGAACCAGTGCAAGAACTATGGCAACTCAAAAAGCCAGAGTGCATTCTTAACTCCAAATGACTACACTAGATCCCCAGCCATGGTTTTCAGCCAGGCTGAAATGGCTGAAATGATGGACATGGAATTCAGAATCTAGATAGCAATAAAGATCATTGAGATTCAGGAGAAAGTAAAAAACTAATCCAAGAAATCTAAGGAATCCAATACAATGATAGAAGAGCTCAAAAACGAAGTAACCATTTTAAGAAAGAACCAATTGATCCAATAGAGCTGAAAAACTCACTGCAACTATTTTATAATGCAATCAAAAATATTAACAGCACAATAGATCAAGCTGGGGAAAGTATCTCTGAGCTCAAGGCTGATTCTTCAAATCTACTAAGTCAGACAAGAATAAGGAGAAAAGAATAAAAAACAATGAACAGAAACTCTGAAAAACATGGGATTGTGTAAAGAGACCAAACCTATGAATCACTGGTGTCTCTGAGAGGGAGAGCAAGCAAATAGGAAAACTTGCTTGCAGATACTGTTCATGAAAATTTCCCCAACCTTGCTAGAGTGTTCATCATTCAAATTCAGAAAACTCTTGTGAAATACTGTACAAGACAACCATCCCCAAGATGTAGTCATCAGATTTTTCTTGATCATTTTGAAACAAAAAATACTAAAGGCAGCTTGAGAGAAGGGGCAGATCATGCACAGAGGAAACCCATAAGGCTACAGTGAACCTATCAGAAGAAATCTTACATGCCATAAGACATTGGGTGCCAATATTGAGCACTCTTAAAGAGAGAATTTCCAACAAGGAATTTCATATCCAGCCAAAGTAAGCTTCATAAGTGAAGGAGGAATACAATTCTTTTCAGACAAGCAAATTCTAAGGGAATTTGTTACCACCAGACCTGCCTTACAAGAAACCCTTAAGTGAGTGCTAAACTGGAAACAAAAGAGCATTACTGGCCACCACAAGAACACACTTAAGTACATAGACACTTAAAGCAACTACACAATCAAGGTTGCACAACAACCAGCTAAAAACATGCTGGCAGGATTAAATCCATGCATATCAATATTAAGTTTGAATGTAAACAGGCTACTTACCCCACCTAAAAGGCACAGAGTAGAAAATTGAATAAATAAGCAAGACCCAATTGTATGCTGTCTTCAAGAGAACGATCTCCCATTCAATGACACTGATAGGCTCAAAGTAAAGTGATGGAAAAAAATCTATCAAGCAAACAGAAAATGGAAAAGAGCAGAGGTTACTATTCTAATTTAAGACAAAATAGACTTTAAACCAACAATGATTAAAAAAGACAAAGAAGGGCATTACATAATGTTAAAGTGTTCAATTCAAAGGAAGGACTTAACTATCTTAAATATATATGCACCCAATACTGGAGCACCCAGATTCATAAAACGAGGTCTTAGAGACCTACAAAAACACTTAGATAATCACACAGTAAGAGTGGGAGACTTCAACATGCCACTGATAATATTAGATAGATCATTGAGGCAGAAAACTAGCAGATATATTTGGGACCTAAACTCAACACTTGACCCAGTGGACCTAAAAGACATCTAGAGAATGCACCAAACAACAAAATATACATTTTTCTCATCTGCACATGGCACATACTCTAAAATTGACCACAAGTTGACCATAAAACAATTCTCAACAACTTTCAAAGAAGCAAAATCATACCAGCCACAATCTTGGATTAAAGAGCGATATAAATAGAAAGCATTGCTAACATGATCTCTCAAAACTATGCAATTACATAGAAATTAAACAACCTTCTTCTAAATGAGTTTTGGGTAAACAATGCAATTAAGGCAAAAATAATGAAATTTTTGAAACTAATGAAAATAAAGATACAACATACCAGAATCTCTGGGACATAGCTAAAGCAGATACAATTTCATTGTTTACCCAAAACTCATTTAGGTGAAGGTTTTTTAATTTCCATGTAATTGCATAGTTTTGAGAGGCCATGTTAGTAATACTTTCTATTTATATTGCTCTGTAGTCCAAGATTGTGGCTGGTATGATTTCTGTTTTGTGAAAGTTAAGAGAAAAGCTTATAGTGCTAAACACACACATTTTCTAACTATACATTTCTTTTTATATATTTCTATAATATATATTAAATATATATATATATTTCTAACATGTGTATACATACATACATACAACAACCTCACATCACACCTAGAGAAACTAGAAATACAGGAGCAAGCCAACTCCAAAGCTAGCAAAACAGAAGAAAATAACCCAAAACATAGCTGAACTGAATGAAATTCAGTGAAACGAAAATTTGTTATTTGAAAGAATAAATAAGACTGATAGACTGCTAGCTAGAATAATAAGAAGAAGAAAAAAGAGGAAAGATCCAAATAATCACAATCAGAAATGACAAAGGAGACATTACCACCAACCCCACAGTAATATAAAACAACCCTCAGAGACTATTATGAACACTTCTATACACACAAACTAGAAAACTTAGAAGGGGATAAATTCCTTCAAACATACGATATCCCAAGTGTGAGCCAGGAAGAAATTGAAACCCCATGCTCATCAGTAATGAGTATGAAAATTGAATCAGTAATAAAAAGCCTACCAACCTGAAAAAAATTCCTGGACTAGACGATTCACAGCTAAATTCTACCCATTGTATAAAGAAGGGCTGGAACAATCCTACTGAAACAATTCCAAAAACAAATGAAGAGGAATAGGGACTTCTTCCTAACTTATTCTGAGGCCAGCATTATTCTTGTACCAAAATCTGGCAGAGACACAACAAAAAAGGAAAACTTCAGGCCAATATCTCTGATGAACACAGATGCAAAAAGCCTGAACAAAATACTTGCAAACCAAATGCAGCAGCACTACTAAAAACTAATCTATCATGATCAAATAGGCTTTATTCCTGGGATGCAAGTTTTGTTTAATATATGCAAATCAATAAATGTAATATATCACATAAAGAGAACTAAAAGCAAAAACCATAATATATCTTAATAGATGAGAAAAAGATTTTAGAGAAATTCAAACATTTCTTCATGTTAAAACCCTCAGCAAACAAGACATTGAAGGGACATACCTCTAAAAAATAAGAACCACCTGTGACAAATCCACAACCAATATCATACTGAATAAGGAATCCAATAAAATGAACTGAAACCACTCCCCTTGAGAACTAAAACATGACAAGAATGCCCACTGTAACCACTCCTATGCAACATAGTACTGGAAGTTCTAGGCAGACCAATCAGACAAGAGAAAGAAATAGAAGATATCCAAATAGGAAGAAAGGAATTCAAACTATCTCTCTTCACAGATGATATGATGTTATGCCTAGAAAACCCCATAGTCTCTGCCCAAAAGCTCTTAGATCTGATAAACAACTTCAGAAAAATTTCAGGATACAAAATAATTACTCAAAAAACAGTATTATTACAATATACCAACAACATCCAAGCTGAAAGCCTAATCAACAATACAATCCCATTTACAATAGCCATAGAAAAAAATTAAATACCTGGGAATGCAGCTAGTCAGGGAAGTTAAAGATCTCTATAAGACTTACAAAATATTGCTGAAAGAACTCAGACATGACACAATCAAATGAGAAAGCAGTCCATGATCGTGGACAAGAAGAATCAACATTGTTACAATGGTCATATTGCCCAAAGAAATTTGCAATTCAGTGCTATTCCTGTAAAACTACCAATGTCATTTTTCACAGAATTAGAAAAAACTACTCTAAAGTTCGCAAGGAACCAAAAAAAAAAACTTGAATAGCCCAAGCAGTCCTAAGCAAAAAGAACAAAGCCAGAGGTAGCACACTGTCTGACTTCAAATTATACTGCAAGGTTACAGAAAAAAAAAAAAAATCATGGTAGTGGTATAAAAACAGCCATGCAGATCAATGGAATAGGATAGAGAACACAGAGATAGAGCCTCACATCTACAACCATCTGAACTTTGACAAAGTTGAGAAAAACAAGTAATGGAGAAAGGACTCCCTATTCAATAAACGGTTCTGGCTAGCCATATGCAGAAGACTGAAACCGGATCCCTACCTTTCAACATATATAAATACCAATTCATGATGGATTAAAAAAAAATCTGACATGTAAAACCTCAAACTATAGGTATAGAGTTTATATAGTTTTATAGTTTACGTAAAACCATAAAAACCCCAGAAGGAAACCTAGGAGATACCATTCTGGACATAGGCTCTGATAAGGATTTCATAACAAAGACCCCAAAAGCAATTGCAACAAAATCAAAAAGTGACAAATGTGATCTAAATAAACTAAAGAGCTCTGCACAGCAAAAGAAACTATCAACAAAATACATAGAAAGCCTACAGAATGGTTGAAAATATTTGCAAACTATGGATCTGACAAAGGCCTAATATCCAGAGACTATAAAGGAATTTAAATGATTGAACAAGCAAAAAGCAAATAACCCCATTAAAAAGTGAGCTGAGTATATGAGCAGAAAATTCTCAAAAGAAGACATGCATGTGGCCAAGAAGCATACAAAAAAGTGCTCAACATCACTGATTATTAGAGAAACACAAATCAAAATCACAATGAGCTACCATCTCACACCAAACAGAATGGCTATTATTAAAAAAACAAAACAAAACAAAAAAAAACAGTAACAGATACTGGTGAGGTTGTGGAGAAAGGGAAATGCTTTTACACTGCTAGTGGGATTCTAAGTTAGTTCAGCCACAGTGTGTGGGAAAGCAGTTTGGAGATTTCTCAAAGAACTTAACACAGAACTACCATTCGACCCAGAAATTCCATTACTGGCTATATACCCAAGGGAATATGAATCATTTTACCGTAAAGACACATACATGCACATGTTCATTGCAGCACTATTCACACTAGCAAAGACAAGGAATCTACCTAAATGCCCATTAATTGTAGACTGAATAAAGAAAATGTGGTACATATGCACCATGGAATACTATGCAGCCATAAAAAGAGCAAGATCATGTCCTTTGCAGCAACATGGATAGAGCTGAAGGCTACTCTCCTATGTGAACTAATGCAGGAACAGAAAACCAAACACCGCATGTTCTTACTTTTAAGTGGGAGCTAAACAGTGAGTACACATGGACATGAAGAAGGGAAACATAAACACAAAGGCCTACTTGAGGTTGGAGGGTGGGAGAAGAGTGAAGTTTGAAAAACGATCTAATGTGTACTACACTTGTTAACTGTGTGATGAAATAATCTGTACATCAAACCCCTGTTAACATGCAGTTTACCCATGTATCAAAGCTGCCATGTACCTCGATTCTATAATAAATGTTGGAAAGGAAAAAGCAATTCTTACCATTATATAGACACATCAAGTCTAGCAGTATGTAAAAAGAATTATGCATCATAGCTAATTGAATTTTATCCCAGAAATGAAAGGCTGGTTACCAGTTGGAAATAACAAATCCAAAAATATTTAAAAAGTAATGTAACAATGCTTTTAATTTGATTATAAAAGAAAAAAACAATTAAAAATATCAGATGCTTAATAAAACTCTTCACAGAGACAATATGTTAATATTCAAAAGCTTGTAAAACACTGCTCGATGTCACTAGTCTTCAAGAAATAGAAGTTAGAACTTCAACAAACTACAACTTCACAGTATAGGAGTGATAAAAATTAAAACAGCTGAAAATATTAATGACTCAGGCATTGTTACTGAGAATGCAAAATGGGATAACCACACTGCAGATGAGTTGGGGAGTTTCTTATAAAGCTAATATACACTTACAATACGGTTACAAACCATCACGCTTTTTGACATCTCTTCATTATAAATGAAGGCATCTGACCACAAAATGACTTTTGATTAATGTATTTTAATAGCATTATTCATATAGTCTAAAACTAGAAACAATCCAAAAATTAACAGGTGAATGGGCAATTAAAATGCAGTATATCTGTACAGTGGATTACTATTCAGCCACAGCAAGGGAAAACTACTAATACACACAGAAACATGGATGAACCTCAAAAATGTCATGGTAATTGAAAAAAAATACAAAAGATGACATACCTCTTGACTCTGTGAATATAAATTTCCAAACAAAATAAACCTACAGTGATAGAAAGCAGATTAGTGTTTGCCTGGACTGTAGATATTTGGATTGAGCTGACTGCAATGGAGAATGAGGAAACTCGACGGGGTGATACAATTGATATACCTTAAGTGTGATTTTGATTACATGATTTTATTAACTGACCAAGACTTAAGATGTAAATTTTAAGTGATTTAATTTTATGTAAATTTTGTCCAAATAAATATGTTAAAATCACTAGATTTTAAAAAGGATATGTTGAACTACACAAAATTTAAGAATTAAGTAAAAGACAACATTAATAAAGTGAGTATGTAAGACAAGTCACAGACTGGTAGGTTTCTCAATAGCCATATATGAAATCAACATTGTATCCATAATAGGTAAATCATTCATACAAATCAATAAGAAAAAAACAGTCAGTCTAATAAATATTTTAGGGGGCATTTGTTAAAAAAGAATTTACAAATGTTCTGTCAGTGAAATATACTTGACATTATCTGTGATCAGAGATAGTCAAATTACAACCAAAATATTATTCTACTGTATTCCCCTCCCATCAAAATGCCTAAATTTTTTTTTTTTTTGCAGGCAATCTGGGTGTTATGAAAGATGTAGACCAACAGAAACACTCATACCTTTCTGGTGACAATAAAACTTTGTACATTTATTTTGGAAAACCCTATTTTAGTGCCTTATAAAATTGAGCATTAGATAATTATGGCCCAGATGCTCCAACGAGAAGTGTATACTTAAGAGATGAATGCCTGTGTGCACCAGAAGACATGCACAGACAGGCATGATTATAACAACTTTATTCATAACAGACCTGAATTGCATCAAATGTTCAACAAATGAATAGATAAACAAATTATGCTATATATTAATAGGAAGGAATACTACTCAAAAAAAATAGGCAAACTGCAGACAACATTTTAAAATATATTGAGTTAAAGAAATGAGATACAGAAAAGTACATACTGCATGATACAATTTATATGAAATTCAAAGACAAGCAAATGAATCTATGGTGATAGATCTGGAAGTCAGTAACTGAAAAAGAGCATGAAAGTATCTTGGGTCAGGGCAATGCTAGGTGTCTTGAGAAACATAGTAATTTCCTTGGTGTATAGAATTGTAATATATCATCAAGCTCAAGAATATGTCTTATTCAATAACAATAACAAAACAAGTAAAAAAACTATGTGTTAAAAGACTATGTATAGGTTTAAGAAAATTACTCTGTATGAGAAAATAGACCTTTTATCCAACTTAACACTTTCCCCCAAAAAGGATAAAGTAAGAAAGGAAATAGAAAGCCTTTTAAAAACTTTCATCCCTGAACCTAACATTCAAAATTGATAAGATTATATTTATATAGAATATGTTCTGAAAACAGATATATTTAAGTATCTGATTTTTTATTTATGAGGTAGTCAGATTAAAATATGACAAATGTAAAAATTTACTATAAAATAGAAATGTATCATAAGTGTATTATAGATTTTATCAAAAATATTACTACCATTTTAGAGGAACTCTGTTGAATCAGGAAGTAATTAAGCTTTTTTCTATATTTTCTGGTGTTCACTTGCTTTGATTGAAAGCTAACAATTCATATTCATTTCCTTTCATTAGTTTTAGATACATCTATTAATTTATAATTTTTTCTATGCAACCAATAGGTCCTATAAAAATTTATTTTTGTTAATGTTACATTAGAGAACATTAAATATAAATTATTTTAAAAGCCTTCCCTTTTGAATGCTTTCTATAATTATCATTTACATAGTGATCACTTTGTCATTCAAATAAATTAAGAGTCATAAAGATTGCCTTTAAAGAAGAATTGTCAAATTGGTTCCAATAGATATGATTCATATTTTGAATCTTTGAGAAATGGTTAGAAATAAAAATAAGGTAAAAGACATACTTTCAACCTCATTGCCATATATTTCATGAACTGTAAGAGAACAAATTTATTGGGGCTATAGGCAACTTAAATAAATATATAACAAAAAATGACTCATTGAAGAAATGCGTAATAGACGCTTTGAATTGAACCACGACTAATGCATTTATTCACAGAATAATTTGTTTGAAATGGCCTTTATATTGGGCAAGAGGAAAGTCTATGAATGCGAAAACCTAAAACTGTTCAATAAATTATCAGCTTCATTTTGTAATTCCATAGTTGGCTTCTTTCTCTTCTATTCTTTTAATTCAATACAAATTTTGACTTTGGAAGAAATATTAACCTTAGTTTGATTGATAATTTGAAACACTATATTCAAGGAAACACTGAGAAATGTAATACTATAGTCGTTTTTTTTTTTTTTCTGGATTCTTTGTGACAGAAAGATAAAGATAAAGGAAAATAAATTACTAGGGGAGGTGAATAATAACCTTGTCAAAATGAACATGGGAAATGAAGATACTTGTAAAGTTGTGCTTTTATTTGAATTATGTATATAAAAACGAAAGATGAATTTCTTACAAATGGTTTATTTTTAACACATGAAGTGAAAATTCTATAATTTACACTTTATATAAACAAGTAGAGCCCATTATTGCCTGCATTTGTGCACTATTTCCAGTAGGAAAAGAACAAGAACACACTTGCAATTTAGAAATCCTGTAAGGAAATAAAATTTGAGGGCAAAACTTAGGGAAATCTCATTGTGAGCTATGGTAATAGCATTTTTTTCTGACAAATCTAAAGTATCTCAAAGGAATGATGAAATCACACACACTTGTTTCTACTAGATCACGGATTACAATTTTTGTCAGCATATGATGGGGATGAAGTGGTTTAATATAAGAGGGAGCACGATGATGTCGGGCTGAAAGAACCTAACCGAGGAGGCTTAGTCTGCAGCACACTTGAGACAGTGTCATGGGAAGTACTCTGAAAGAGTTGTGTGAACTTGATAGGAGAACCAGTTTCACGCTCTCAGCTTGATAGAGGTTAAGACTTTCTGGATTCTGCAGTTACATTTTTGTAGGTATTTTAGATACTAGATATGTAAAATAGTTATACGGCAGTAAAATTTGTTTTTCTTATTTCTCTCTTTCTTCATACCTGTAATGAAAGGCATATGGAGTTTGTATTTTAAATTTTTGGAATTAAAAGAAATTGGTGATTCACCAGCATGCTTAACTTTCATGGATAAATACTGTAATTTGTCTGTAAGGTGTATTCTGTTCACCCACACACTAATTAAAAAGTTTTAGAGACTGTTTTTCATAATCCTAGCTTTCACACACCCTATGCATGAAAATTTATTTTTCATACTTCAGAAGTAAATTGAACTGTATGAGTAGGTAAATAGTTCTTCCATAAGCATTTCCTGTCAGGAAATCGAGACTAAAGAGTGGACTGAGGCTGAAGGATGTACAGGTCTCATGCTCTTTTGAAATCACACTGAAGAAATGCTATACATTTATCTTGGAAAAGTACTACCGAGGCATTGCCGCTGCTTCAGTTAAATAAGTGATACACTGGGGATCGTACTTTCTAGATCAATTCAGAACGTAAAAATTTGCCTTCCAGGTTTATTGATATAATTAATATGTTGCTAAATAGAGAGACAATTTAGGCAAGATTCTTAGACATAATTCAGATCAGACTACTTTGAGTATCTAAACAGGCCATTGAGACTTCTTCCCAATAAACAGCATTCATTTACACATCTGAGCATATATATAAGCTCAGGTGTTTTACAAACTCTGCATTTAATAGCCAGAGTTCTCCAGGAGTAACAGAACGAATAGGATGTGCATAGATGTAGACATTGATATACATAGACATTGATTTATTTTAAGTAATTGGTTTACGTGATTATAGAGGCTGGCAAGTCCAAAATCTGCAAGGTGGGCAGACACTGTCAGGCCACCCCAGTAGAAATGATGTTGCAGTAGAAGTCTGAAGTCCATCTGCTTGCAGAATTCCTTCTTGCTCATGGGACGTCAGTCTTTTTGTTCTATTCAGGCTTTCAGATGATTGCATGAGGCTTACCCACATTATGGAGCGCAATCTGCTTCACTTAAATCTACTGATTTAAATGTTAATCTCACTTAAAAATGCCCTTACAGAAGCCTACAGAATGTTTGTCCAAATATTTGAGCATTGTGGTCCCAATGCACTGACACATAAAATTAACCATCACAAGTCCACCCCTTGTCCTTCTGGCATCCATATGCATCTCCTTAAACCATATTTAATCTCTAAAAAAGGACAATAACAAGGTCATACTTCCACTTAACATGAGACAACCGGCCTGCATACAACTGAAAATGCACTAGCAATACCTAAATACTATGATTTAAATCAATACACATTGTGTTACATAATAAGGGAAGAATAGCGGAAGTAAAGCAATGTTTGCTTAATATACGTACACAAACAATTGTAACTGGTTACTTGGTGTAGCTGATATTTCTAAATACATTCTTCCACTACTGTATTCCTTCTTCCATTCTGTATTCCTTTTCCCCTCAGCAAACCCCTCAGCTGATTGTATAACGTAATGCTAGATAAGCTATTTCTCAGTTCTCTCAGAAAAATAAGTGATGTCTCCCTGCTAATAATAGTATAAAATGATAATGAATATAGGCCACATAAGGACATGTTTCCTGCTCTCATTCAGCCTTCTGAGTAATTGTAAAATTAAACATTAAACACATAAACATATATATAACTACACAAAGTGTTCTTAATAAAAATAAAATGAAGTGCCTAATTAAATGGAGAGTTAGGGAACACTCAGTCAATAACACTTAAGATGAAATAGGAGTTGAATGGGAATTAGGTAAAGAGTTAAGAAGGAAAACATTATTAGTAAAGTGAGCCACATAAAGGAAGATCTTATTACAGAAAACACTTTATCACATTCTAGAAACTGTTATATTTGTATGCATGTATATATATGGAAGCTAGCAAAGAAAGAGAGAAGAATACTTTGGGATGATGTTGGAGAAGTAGACAAGGGCCAAATATTGCTGGACCCTGAGATTCAGTTTGAATAATGGAGTTTTAATAATTAAATAATGCAAGAAAAGCCACTGAGGATTTTTAAGCTGAGGGAAGAAAGTGTAGGCCACATATCACTCTGGCTATCATGTGGGAAAATGGAATTTGTTAAGGAAGACAGTAAAACGATTCTATTAGTTAAGATAATGCTAGCTGGTTGTAATGACTATTTTGCATGCCAACTTGGCTAGGCCATATAGTATCCAGTTATTTAATAAAAAACAAATTTACAGCTGTGTGCGGTCGCTCACACCTATAATCCCAGCACTTTGGGAGGCCAAGGCGGTGCGGATCACCTGAGGTCAGGAGTTTGAGACCAGACCGGCCAACTTGGTGAAACCCCGTATCTACTAATAATACAAAAATTATTCAGGCATGGTGGCAGGCGCCTGTAGTCCCAGCTACTTGGGAGGCTGAGGCAGGAGAATCACTTGAACCAGGGAGGTGGCAGTTGCAGTGAGCCAAGATCATGCTGTTGTGCTCCAGCCTGTGCAATGAGAGCAAGACTTTGTCTCAAACAAACAAATAAGCAACAACAACAACAAAAACAAAGTTGTGTGTTGTTGAAATGGTATTACATAGATGTGGTTAACAGCTACAATTAGTTAACTTTAAGTAGAGGAGATTACTCTCATTAATGTGTTGGACCTCATCCAATTATTTGAAGGTCTTAAAAGCAACAGCTGAGGTTTCCTAGAAAGGAAGAAATTAGCCTCATGACTGCATTGTAAAATCTTTCCCAAGTTTCCAGCCTGCCTGCCTGCTGTACAGATTTTGAACTTGCCAGTTCCCATGATTATCTGAGACAATTCCTTAAAACAAATCACACATACACAAACACCCCTCCTATTGGTTCTGTTTTTGTGAGGAACTCTGATTGATACTCCAGGTATTAATTAAAACTATCTGTGAATAAACACAAAAACAAATTTGTTTCTAAAATAACCATTTAATGTGGTTGTTCCTGGTTCACAGTTTTCCTACTAGTGTTGATTCAGAATCCAGATTTTTTTTTATTGTGTGCAATATAATTCCCTAATGTAGTTCACAAAGAAGTCACCACTTCTGAAGCTTGAGGCCCCATCCACAGAGAGTTTTCTTTGCTAGTTTGTTTGTTTTGTTTTTATTTCTAGTAGATTTGATTGGCAATGAAGAATTTGCATTTCTTTTTTTTTTTTGTCAGGTTTGTTGAAGATCAGATAATTGCAGGCGTGTCGTCGTATTACTGCATTCTCTATTCTGTTTCATTGGTCTATGCATCTATTCTTGTACCAGCACCATGCTATTTTGGTTACTGTAACCCTGTAGTATAGTTTGAAGTTGGATAGCGTGATGCCTCCAGCTTTGTTCTTTTCGCTTAGGATTGTGTTGGCAATTTGGACTCTTTTTTTGTTCCATATGAATTTTTAAATCGTTTTTTCTAGTTCTGTGAAAAATATCAATGGTAGTTTAATGGGAATAGCATTGAATCTATAAATTGCTTTGAGCAGTATGATCATTTTAATTATATTGACTTTTTCTATCCATGAGCATGGAATGTTTTTTCACTTGTTTGTGTCATCTCTGATTTCTTTGAGCAGTGGTTTGTACCTACATGCAGCCAACAAGCATTTGAAAAAAAAAGCATAGTATCACTGATCATTAAAGAAATGCAAATCAAAACCACAATGAGACACCATCTCACACCAGTTGAAATGACTATTATTAAAATATCAAAAAATAACAGATGCTGGCAAGGTTGTGGAGAAAAATGAACGCTTATACACTGTTTTGTTTTTGTTTTTGTTGTTGTTGTTGTTTGTTTTTTGTTTTGTTTTGTTTTCCGAGATGAAACCTCACTCTGTTACCCAAGCTGGAGTGCAGTGGCACGATCTCGGATCCCTGCAAGTTCCGTCTCTTGGGATCAAGCAATTATCCTGCCTCAGCCTCCCAAGCAGCTGGGACTATAGGCCCATGCCACCATGCCTGGCTAATGTGTGTGTGTGTGTGTGTGTGTGTGTGTGTGTGTGTGTATTTTTAGTAAAAATGGGGTTTCACCATGTTGGCCAGGCTGGTCTCAAACTCCTGACCTCATGTGATCTGCCTGCCTTGGCCTCCCAAACTGCTGGGATTACAGGCATGAGCCACTGCACCTGGCCATACACTGTTGATGGGACTATAAATTAGCTCAGTCATTGTGGAAGACAGTGAGGTGGTTCCTCAAAGACCTAAAGACAGAAATACCATTTTTCTCAGCAATCCCATTACTAAGTGTATACCCAGGGGATATAAATTATTTATTCTATTCATACTATAAAGACATATGCACGCATATGTTCATTGTAGTACTATTCACAATAACAAAGACATGGAACCAAACCAAATGCCCATCAGTGATAGACTGTATAAAGAAAATGTGGCACATATACACCATGGAATACTATGCAGCCATAAAAAAGGAGGGAACCATGTTCTTTGCAGGGACAGGGATGGAGCTGCATGCCATTATCTTGAGCAAACTAACACAAGAACAGAAAAGCAAGTACTGCATGTTCTCACTTATAAGTGGGAGCTAAATGATGAGAACACACGGACACATAGAGGGGACAACACACACTGGGGTCTATAAGAGGGTGAAGGATGGGAGGAAGGAGAGGATCAAGAAAAATAACTAATGGATACCAGGCTTAATATCTGGGTGATGAAATAATGTGTACAACAAACCCTCATGACACACATTTACCTATGTAACAAACCTGAAGAGTTTGCATATGTACCCCTGAACTTAAAATAAATATTACAAAAACATCAAATGTACTGCAATTGTTTTCCCTAGAAGGATTCAAAGATTCATAGAGGGCATGCATCAGAACAATCTAGAGTACACGAAAGAGGCAAAATTCCACAGCCCCAGTCTTGTTCTACTGAATTATAATGTCTGGTAGTACAGGCTAAGATATTGCATTTCTAACAATCTCCCCATATACTTGTGTGCCTTAAAATATTAGATGAAGTAGGCTAAGTCACAGGGAAGTGGTACAGATTCAAATAAAAAGAATGCATACTTATTTTGAAACAAGCAATTATATCAAGATTTCAAAGAATAACTAATTTCTCACTTAGCACTGCTTCAAAGTAGACTCATGTTTATTATCTATTAGGTGAAAATATTTGAGGGCGGTATCAGTCTCATCAATACGCAGGTCATAGAGATTGTAAGCATTCTCACCTTTTGTACATTTTTTGAGATTATGGAAATTTACAGTTTATGTAACAAAAAATAGAAAAAAAAATAAAGCTCAGTAATATTTCAAATTGACCACTGTTGGACAGGTAGAGAAAATAAGGCACAAAAACCATAAGTAGATAAAAATAAACATACGACTGTATCTTTACAAGGAATAACTTGCCATATGTTATTGTATCCTTTCTGAGGTACAAATGCATATTGACAGAAGACAGTAGTTTACTCCTTTAATACTGTACAGTCTATAAAACAAAACTTCACAGAATTGAAAAATGGTCTCATTCACTAATATTAAGAATTAGAATAAGTCCCCAGCTATCTTTGTTTTAACTTTAACAATTATATTAATTCCAGATTACTTTATAGTACAAAAGTTGTATGCAGTTCCAGGCTATCTAAGCAGTCTTGGAGTTTAGTTTATTTTGTTGTTGTTGTTGTTGTCTGTTTGTTTTTAATATGATCACCTTTACTTTTCCTAAATCTGGAAGAGAAATGCACAAAGTTGTAGTGGGCCTTGTATCTTATGCTTGTGGAAATTACTGTTGAATGTCTAGTGTCCTCACTCGCCCTGCTTTAGTACCAGGCAATGCAATTCCATTGCATTCAAGAAATGCTGGAGAGACCTCGATCTCAGAGAAGGTAAAACCCCACCAGGGTCCCAGGTGATGAATCATACTTTGTCAAAGCAGTAATAATCCGACTCAATTTCATCGGTGCTTAGTCTAAGGATGTTCTTATAATTCAGTGCTAGTCATGAGAAAAAATCAGCTGAAGAATCTAGTATCAGTCCATTCTCCCACTGCTATAAAGAAATACGTGAGACTGGGTTACTTATAAATAAAAGAGGTTTAATTGGCTCTGCAGGCTGTCCAGGAAGCATGATGCTGGCATCTGCTTAGCTTCTGGGGAGGCCTCAGGAAACTTACAATCATGGCAGAAGGCAAAGGCAGAGCTGGCACTTCACAGGGCTGGAGCAGCAAGGGCTGGGGGAGGTGCCATACAGTTTTAAGCAACCAGATCTCATAAGAACTCACTCACTATTATGAGAACAGCACCAAGGGGGAATGGGGCTAAACTATTCATGAGAACTCGACTCCATGATCCAATCACCTCCCACCAGGACCAACCTCCAACAGTGGGAATTACAATTCAACATGAAATTTGGGCTGGGACACAAATCCAAACCATATTAGACTTTTATCACCTACTATGTAGACAAAACATAGGTTTTTCTTCTGTTCTCATGCCACAGTTATCAACACAAGAAGTTTCTGTGACTAAATGTGTGGAGATTTCTCCCTATTCACAAGCAAGCAAGCAATTTTACAGCAGTTATCAGCTGGCAGCTCCTGATCCAGTTCAATTCTGATGCTGCCTACCTGAAGATTATGTCAGATCTCCGCAGCTTGAGAGCTCAGTCCCACAAGACTGCCCCCAGTTCCTTCACCAGTCACAAGTCCAGACCCTTGGAACTTCTGATCTATTGCTTCAAGTTGGAGTTCCCATGACCTTCTCTTTAGGCTCTATTAATTTGTTAAAGTGTCTCAGAAAACCCAGAAAAACATCTGTTTACATTTACCCTTTTATTATCAATAACATTTTAAAGGATACAAATAAACAGCCATATGGATAAATATATAGGGAGAGGTCTGGAAGGGTCCTGCGCACAGGAGCTTCTTTCTCACGGATTGGGGGCGTGCCACCCTCCTGGCACATATGTGAGCTCTTGTTCACCTTTCTGTAAGCCTTCACAAGTTCAGCTGTCCAGAAGCTCTCCATCCCCCATTCTCTTGGGCCTTTTAAGAAGACTTCCAGGGAGAGGTATGACTAAATTATGGACCACCATGTCAAAATGTGATTGGATGAAATGAGTGTGATCTAATACTGAGTGGAAAACCCAGCAAGGCCTGTCTGCCCAGATTCTTCTTGGCCCTTCTGTGCAGCATTCTTTTCTATAGGACTTGGAGCAGGACCCCTCCTGAAATGGGGATCTTATGACCCAAAATAGGACAAAGTAGTTCAGTGTATTAGGGTTCTCCAGAGGGACAGAACTAATAGGATATATGTATGTATCCTATTAGTGAGATATGTATCTATATATCCTATATATATCCTATATATGAAAGGGAGTTTATAAAGGAGAATTTACTCAATCACAAGGTGAAGTCCCACGGTAGGCTGTCTGCAAGCTAAAGAGCTAAGAAGCCAGCACAAGTCCCAAAACTTCAGAAGTAGGGAGGCGGATAGTGCAGCCTTCAGTCTGTGGCTGCGGGCCTGAGAGCCCGCAGAAAACTGCTGGTGTGAGTCCAAGATTCCAAGGTCAAATAACCGTCTGACATCCAAGGGCAGGAAGAATGGACAGAAGCATACAGCACAGGGCGTGGTGTGGTGGCTCATGCCTGCAATCCCAGCGCTTTGGGAGGCTGAGGCGAGCGGATCACCTGAGATCAGGAGTTTGAGACCAACCTGGCCAACATGGTGAAACCCCATTACTAATAAAATACAAAAATTAGCCCGGTGTGGTGGTGCATGTCTATTGTCCCAGCTACTAGGGAGGCTGAAGCAGGAGGATCACTTCAACCTGGGAGGCAGAGGTTGCAGTGAGCCACGATTGCACCACTGCACTCCAGCCTGGGTGACAAACAAACAAACAAACGAAAAACGCATACAGCATGGGAGAAAGGTGAAAGCCAGAAGACTCAGCAAGCCAACTTATCTCACCTTCTGCCTGCTTTGTTCTAGCCGTGCTGGTAGCCAACTGGATGCTGCCCACCCACATTAAGAGTGGGTCTTCCCCTCACAGTCCACTGACTCAAATGTTAATCTCCTCTGGCAACACCCTCACAGACACAATACTTTACCAGCTATCTAGGCATCCTTCAATCCAATCAAGTTGACAACTAATATTAACCATCACACTAGAAGAATTTCTTTATGAGCAGCTCTAAGACACAAATTCAGGAGATTAGGGTGTATTTTTAGATTCTATGGCCTGCCTTGAGGAGAAAAAGGAACAGGTAAAAGAGGAGCAGGAGGAGGTCAGAGAGAGGTTCTGTTTTCTGAGATTGCTTCCGGGGCCTAACGCATCCTAAGGTTATAAGCAAAGATCATCTTTCACCTTTATTGTTCTGAAGCTGTCCCAAAGCTGCTTCAGGACTGAAAAACAAAAGGCCAAATAGTTTAGCAAAAGATCTTCTTATTGTTTTAGTCACTTAGGAAATAATAGAGGCTACGGGAGTTATGAGCCAGGAACTGTGGATGAAACAAATATTTCTTTATCATAATATTACACCTACTGAAAAAATACTTTGCACAGCAGCACTTCCGAGGTGCCCGTCTTTATGCCCTGCCCTTCCTTACTACCACAGGCACTAAAGTGAGGGTTTATAACCTATGCATTTTGAGTAACGGGTCAAAAAATTACAGAGATGTGATTGTCCCTTGCCATTGAAACCAAAAATGTCACCAACTTCCAGACTTTGTGTGAAGGGAATAATACATTTTCTTATGGTTTGTGACAGTGTTGGCTTTTTTGTGAAAAGGTTTATGAAATTTTATACTAGTACTAATATACTAACAATGTTAATTCAAAGATTATCTGATCTGTTGTTCAGAATCTTAAAACTCCATGACTATGTAAAGATAGTAGGGCTGGCCCGGCGCGGTGGCTCACGCCTGTAATCCCAGCACTTTGGGAGGCCGAGGTGGGTGGATCACGATGTCAGGAGATCGAGACCATTCTGGCTAACACGGTGAAACCCCGTCTCTACTAAAAATACAAAAAAAATAGCTGGGCGTGGTGGCGGGCGTCTGTAGTCCCAGCTACTCAGGAGGCTGAGGCAGGAGAATGGCGTGAACCCGGAAGGGGGAGCTTGCAGTGAGCCGAGATAGCGCCACTTCACTGCAGCCTGGGCGACAGAGCGAGACTCGTTTCAAAAAAAAAAAAAAAAAAAAAAAAAGATAATAAGGCTGAGCACTTGGTCTCAAACTGGACATTTGGGGCTAAGGTCAGAAGAGAACCTGCCTAATGTAGTTAAGCTAGCCACGTATCATCAGCAGTCAGAGTTTAGCTAGATGGGGTTGTTTTTGTGGAGCAAACGCATTTTAATGCCAGCAAAGTTATGGAAATTTTTGGCTTCACTACATGAAGTCTATTAGGGAATTTTTCACTTGAAAATATTGGCTAGGTATTTAGCCTTTAATATGGAAGTTAGCCATCAACAAAATAAAATATAAAGCCCACTGCAGGCAGCATTCCTTGCCAAAAACATCTAATTTTTGTCATGGGACATGATCAACAATCTTTGGTTAGAGGGAATATTAATTATTTGGGACCACATCATGCAGAGATAATTTAGTCCTTCACAGAGCAACTTCTGTTGTTCTATATAAAGCCCTTTGGCAGCAATAATAGTTCCATTTCACACAATAAATTTGTGAATTGGAACCATATCTGAGCTGTCACTATCGCACCACATCATTTCAAGTATTTTTTAAGGCTAACATGACAGCGAAGATTATCCAAGGGGAGTTTTTGATGAAAATTGGATAGTAGCATCCATTATATATCTTGATCACTCAACATATCTAGAATACAAGGACTTTGATGGCAAAGACCGTTATCTCTTTTGTTTACTGTGGTGTTCCTAGCGTTTAGCAAGAGTATCTGATACGTGATAACTATTGTTGACGGAATCACTAAGTTAATACAGCATTCTCTATTCAAAAAAAATGTAGTTGGTATGTCCGTATAAATAATGAAGCAGGTATTTATTTGAGATATAGACAATTAGTTATTAAACAAAGAACATATTAAAAGCACTACTCTCTATAGATCTGTTCTGATGTAGCTTTTACTCATTATGGAATTGTCCAGACAGGTTTTCTCCTTCTAACGTAAAACAGAAGCCAAAATGTTTTATCTAAATAATACAGTTAAGTACATATGTAGTTAAAACACACAGAAAACATGTAAATGTTAAAAACACCTTAAGTAATAATATTTATGGAAATATGATAATATAAAAATTCCAAAAAAATAGTATGCATTACACTTTATTTGTATGATAAGAAAGTGTGGGGACATATAGAACAGACAAAAATAAAAGATGCCTCCTTGATTCCTTTGTTAGGAAGCTGGCTGCACTGTGGCAAGTGGTGTGATCCTAGAAGTCATGGTTTACAAAGGATAATCAGAGGATACTTTGGGGCTGACATTGAGGATATTTACTACTTATCCAAATGTAGATGTACAAGAGTTACTTATATTCATTCACGCATTCAGAAACTACTTTTTTAATAGCATAGTTTGTTGGAAACTGTCCTAAGTGTTAGAGAAAGAATTAATCCAGAGAGAAACATTCTTGCTTTCCAGATAGAAAAAATAATATTGAGATTGCCAAAGAAACAGGAAAGATAATTTTTTGAAATGGAAAGAGTTGTCAATATTGTTTATTCACAGACAATTTAGAAACTCAAAAATACCCTTGAACTTAGCTGCACACAGGTCACTATTGGCTTTGGCCAGAGCAATATACATAAAGAGATGGAAGTAGAGGCTAGATTCTGATTTTCCAATTTGCAAGGGTTTCATACTGACTGCTGTAACTCATAGTTTGTTCTGGTAAATCACACCACTGAAAATTAGAATATTTATTTAGGCAAGGAGCAGAGGTAGAAGGCATGCAGTGAGACATGGTGATGGTGTACTATTGTCTCCTTCAACTTCTTGTTAAGTATATTTGGATATATGGAATATTTAATTTTGGTGTGAAAATTAAGCAAAATAATACAACCATATGCACAGTTTAAAGATCAAAGATGCTGTTCACTAAAATGTAGATTAAAATGGCACTGGCCCAGTTTGAGACAAAGTATTCTGAAATAGAAAATTCTTTAGTACACTCTGAAAATGCTTTTTAGCAATTGCTTTATTACTCTAGTGCTTCAGTTTCATCTCCTCTTCATAATAATTGATGAAAGAGTTTATGATATTACTAAATTAGCCACCATTTATTTTGTAGAGATAGAGCAAATGCAAGCTTTATTATATCAAACATCATATCAGTTCCTTAGTATTTTCTATTACTTTTCCTGGGAACAGTAAAAGAAATAGAAATTTATATTGGATTTCTGTGGGTTCTGGAGTTGTTTTGTTGAGCCGTATTTTCTCAAAAAGTAGAGAATATAATGAATTGATTTTTATAGGTAAAATCAATATTATATATTGATTACGCAAATTATATTACTATATGACATGTAAACATATACTATATGACATGTAAACAAACTTTATTTTATATGAACATGTGCCTAATATATTAGCTATTTTGTAAACTATATGCATACATATGTGATATGATTTGGCTATGTCCCCACTCAAATTTCATGTTGCATTGTAGTTCCCATAATCCCCATGTGTCGAGGGAGGGACCCAGTGAGAGGTAATTTAATCATACGGTAGTCACCCTCATGCTGTTCTTGTGATAGTGAGTGAGTTCTCATGAGAGCTGATGTTTTTTTAAGGTGCTTTTCCCCCGCTTGCTAGGCACTTCTCTTACCTGCTGCCATGTAAGAGGTGTCTTTGCTTCTCCTCAGCTTTCCACCATGATTGTGAGGCCTCCTCAGCCAGGTGAAGCTATGAGTCCATTAATCCTATTTTTCTATATAAATTACCCAGTCTCATATATGTCTTTATTAGCAGTGTGAGAACAGACTAATACAGTACCTTGATATCAGGAGTAGGGTGCTTCTATAAGGATATCTGAAAGTGTGGAAGCGACTTTGGAACTGGGTAACAGGCGGAGGTTGGAACAGTTTGCAAAGCTCAGAAGATAGGAAAATGTGGGAAAGTTTGGAACTTCCTAGAGACTTGTTGAATGGCTTTGCCCAAAACTGTGATAGTGATATGGACAATGAAGTCCAGGATGAGGTGCCCTTAGATGGAGATGAGAAACTTGTTGGGAACTAGAGAAAAGGTGACTCTTACTATGCTTTAGCAAAGAGACTAGTGGCATTTTGCCCCTGCCCTAGAGATCTTTGGAACTTTGAACTAGAGAGAGATGATTTGGATATCTGGCAGAAGAAATTTCTAAGTGGCAAAGTGTTCAAGAGGAAGCAGAGCATAAAAGTTTGGAAAATTTCCAGCCAGATGATGCAATAGAAAAGAAAAACCCATCTTCTGGGGTGAAATTCAAGCCAGCTGCAGAAATCTGCATAAGGAACGAGGAGCCAAATGTTAATCACTAAGACAATGGGGAAAATATCTCCAGGGTATGTCAGAGACCTTCATGGCAGTCCCTCCTATCACAGGCACAGAGGCTGAGGAGGAAAAAATGGTATTGTGGGCTGGGCTCAGGGCCCCTCTGCTGTGTGCAGCCTAGGGACATGGTGCCCTGTGTCCAAGCTGTTTCAGCCATGACTAAAAGAGGGCAAGGTATAACTCATGCCGTGGCTCCAGAGGGTGCAAGCCCCAAGCCTTGGAAGCTTCCATGTGGTGTTGAGCCTGCAGGTTCACAGAAATCAAGAGTTGAGGTTTAGGAATCTCTGCCTAGATTTCAGAGTATGTATGAAAATGCTTAGATGTCTAGGCAGAGGTATGCTGCAGGGGAGAGGCCCTCATGGAGAACCTCTGCTAGGGCAGTTAGGAAGGAAAATGTGGGGTTGGGACCCCCACACTGAGTCCCTAATGGGCCTCTGCCTTGTGAAGCTGTGAGAAGAGGGCCACTGTCCACCAGACCCAAAAATGTTAGATCCACTGACAGCCTGCAGTGTGCCTGGAAAAACCACAAACACTCAACGCCAGCCTGTGAAAGAAGCCAGGAGAGAGGCAGTTGTACCCTACAAAGTCACAGGGGCCAGCCTGCCCAAGGTCGTGGCAGTCCAGCTCTTGCATCAGAGTGACCTGGATGTGAGACATGGAGTCAAAGGAGATCATTTTGGAACTTTAAGTTTTAATGAGTGCCCTATTGGATTTCAGACGTTCATGGGGCCTGTAGCCACTTTGGTTTGACCAATTTCTCACATTTGGAATGGATGTATTTACACAATGCCTGTACCCTCATTGTATCTAGGAAGTAACTAACTTACTTTTGGTTTTGCAGGCACATAGGCAGAAGAAACTTGTCTTGTCTCAGATAAGACTTTGGACTTGGACTTTTGAGTTAATGCTGGAATGAGTTAAGACTTTGAGGGACTGTTGGAAGGGCATGGTTGTGTTTTCAAATGTGAGGACATGAGATTTTGGAGCGGCCAGGTGTGGAATGATATGGTTTGTCTGTGTCCCCACCAAAATCTCATCTTAAATTGTAGATCCCATAATCACCACATGTCAAGGGAGGGAATGGTGGGAGGTAATTTAATCATGGGGGCAGTTACCCTCATGCTGTTCTTGTCATAGTCAGTGAGTTCTCACAGGATCTTATAACCCTTTTCCCCCTTGTGCTCCACAGTTCTCTTGCCTGCCACCATGTAAGATATGCTTTTACTCTTCCGCCTTCCACCGTGACTGTGAGGCCTCCCCAGCCATGTGAAACTGTGAGTCTATTAAACCTTCTTTTCTTTATAAATTACCCTGTCTTGGGTATGACTTTATCAGGAGCATGAGAACAGACTAATGCAATATGTTAAAAAGTATAGAATATAATCACCTGATTTTGATTATGTAATACTTAACTAATTAAGAGGGGAACTCCGTTATTCCTTAAACAGTTTAAAATGGATTAAAAAAAATCTTTTTTGTATTGTCTGGTTATTTGATTAGCTTGCTGTAGAAAAGCAGATACAGCTCTAAATTTGTATTTATTTGAATCATGTAATGCATAAGCTTATGTACAAATTAATAGAATGAACATTTCTCATGCTTATGTAGTTCATGCTGACTATATTTCATAAGTTATGAGTTTTATAACTTATAAGTCTTTTTATATCCCATTCCTTCATTTGGCTTGGAAGTTGCATACCTTTTTATAATTATCTTATTTTTATGATTATATTTATTAAACATGCATTTCAAGTTTGTCAAGTCTAATGTTAGTGTATTCACTTTTTTCTCGGTCAATGCAAGAACCTTCAAAATATTTATGTGTAGTCCGTACTATTCAACTTAATGTGATTGTCATTCTGTATTTCAATAGTAAATATTTGATTTAATTTCCAAAGAATATATTAAATAGTCATAATTTTTAGTTTACTGGCATAGTTAGCATCTCCATGGCTCATTATTTCTCTCTGGTCCCTGCCATCCCCGTGTCTATGACTTAACTTTGCTTATATTATTTCTGCCTTTAGTATTTCCGTTGATGCTGGTTTGCTTTCAATCTTTCTCTCATGTTTTCTTTCTATAAAATATTTTTATTTCAAGATAAGCATTTTTATTTTATTAGTAAAATAAAAGAATACTTCTTTTAAAATATTGTTATGTTGTTTTATGTATGTTTTATTGATCTAACAAAATCTTCACCTCATATTTTATCTCCTTAGTAGCTGCAGTATTTGAAACTCCCATGGGTCTGTTTCTAGTGTCGGTTGATCTTGCTACATGTCATTTAACATTGTCTTTCCTCCTCGTAGGTCTGGTCATTTTTGATTGAGTGTAAAAAGTGCATTTAAACAATATTTTAAAATAGTGTATACTAAGAGGATGTTTTTCCTTATGCTATAACTTGATTACTTGTTTCAGACATCTTAGGCCATTAACAAACTAAAGTCATGATATTTTAATTTGAGGATTAAAATGATTCAAGCTAGTTTTTGGTTAAGTGCCAGAATATTACACCTGACTCAGGGTGACAAAATAAAATTTGGTGAGGGTAGGTTAGCAGGGCTGCCTTGCAGGCCAAGTCTGGTCTCCAAATTTTGTCTACATAACCCCACTGGGCTCTCAAAACTCATCTCAGGCTTTCTGCTACATCTTTCATTAGAGACAAATACATACTGAGGAAAAGTAGTTCCAGATACTAGCTTCAGATCTCAGAATGTGTTTTACCTTCTTCCCTGAAAAGGTGGCCCAGAAATTCTTGGCAATTTTATGAGCCCTTTGATACCTAGGAGCAGATTTTAAAAGCTCCATTATTACCTTCAATAGGAGAGTTGGCCTCTGTTACTTGATCCACCATTTCTAGACATAAATGTCTTACGTATTCTTCATAAGATTTCTTAAAATGTTATTTGACTACATTTAATCATTGATAGGGCAAAGAAAATAAAATAATTTTGATAAAAATAACTTGACAGGAACACTTTGTTTTTCTAACTGTTCCTCTCAAGAGCTTGGTTACAATTTATTTTTAGGGTCATTATAATTTCCTGCACAATGGCCAATACAATGTTTTATATACAGTAGACACATTACATAGACAAATGCAAAGCTGAAATTTTACGCCTAACTAGTTTTTTAATTTTTTTATAATGTTAATTTACACCCACAATTAGAGTCCATTCTCTTTCATAAAGTATGTTATTTGTGTAAATAAAAGACTTGAAAAAAATGTCTTGAAAAAAACTAAGAGCTTTAGTAATTAAATCTGTCCATCTGAATTTTCCATACATTTTAAAGAGAAAAAATATATAATAGCAATCTTTTTTTTGAAAGTGTTTTGTACCTAATAGTAACACATGCTTCAGAAATACTGTTATATGATTAGCATTTCTAAAACACACATATAACAATAACAGCGAAGAAAAGCAAAAGATAACTCAAGATAAATTAGTTGTCATTATCTATTTATTTCATTTTGTGGCTTAGAGTGAAGATGATAGAAGTAAAAAAAAGATAATTTACTATAAAATGAATTTGAGGAATATACCCAAGTGAATTTAAAACAGAAATATTTATTTTAAAACAGTATAGATAGTTCTACAATAATGTTCATAGAACATTGTACATCCATGTTCACAGCACCATTCATCGCAATAGGCAAAAGGCAGAAAGAACCCAAATGTCCTTGAATGGATGAATAAACAAAATGTGATATATGCGTACAATTGAAAATCATTCAGCCTTAAAAAGGAGTGAAATTCACACACATGCTACAACATGGATGAACCATGAAGACATTATGTTAAGTGAAATTACCAGACACAAAAGCTCAAATATTGTAGGATTCCACTTATGTGTAGTACCTAGAATAGTTTAATTCATAGAGAAAGAAAGTAGAATATTGGTTACCGGGGTGGCAGGAAGCAGAAATGGGAAGTTATTGTTTACAGAACTCTGGCTACAGAGTTCCAGCTTGGGATGACAAAAAATGTTCTGAAGACACACAGTTAGTGAGGATTACACAAAATAATGTGAACGTACTAATGTTACTGAACTGCAACTTAAAATGGTTAAGATGATACTTTTCATATTATGTACATTCTATCACAACAAAAACTTAAAAATAAATCCTTTTCTACCTCACTTGGCCTAAGAAGTGCAGAAATTGAATTAATTGTCCTAACATGTCTGCATGTAGTAAAGGATAATTTGATTCCAAAGGAAAAAAGCAAATGCTGGTCCCATAAGAGTCAATGCATTTTTTTCCCCAAAAAGGGCAGAACTGGACACTTGAAATATTATAGAATAATAAGATTCAATATTTCTGGCTGGACACGGTGGCTCACGCCTGTAATCCCAGCACTTTGGGAGCCCGAGTCGGGCAGATCATTTAAGGTCAGGAGTTGGAGACCAGCCTGGCCAATATGGTGAAACCCTGTCTCTACTAAAAATACAAAAATTAGCCGGGCAAAGTGATGGGCACCTGTACTCCCAGCAACTCGGGAGGCTGAGGCAGGAGAATCACTTCAACACGGGAGGCAGAGAAAAAAAAAAGATACGAGGTTTCTGATACCAGAAAGCTCACCATCAGGCTGATACATATAAGTTGTTTTCTGGGTTTTTTTTTTTTCTTTCCTTAATTGCAATAAATCTGTATTACTCAAGGCCGTGATTGTGTGCTGTTTAGATCACTGAGACATCTAAGCTATTTGTAGCTCTTTGGAAACTCCTATGCTTGGATCCAATATGTGCACATCTGCTTGAGACAAATGTGCATTGAAAAAAGGGTAGGGAAGTAATACACTTTCTGCAAATGAAGACTGCATCTCAAAGGAAAAAGGAGGAAGCCTGTCTCTTGGGACTATAGGGAACGTTTGGACAGTGGGGATATATTCATTTGGCCTCTGTGATCCAACAGTGAACATTCTAACATTTCTCTATACTGTCCCCATCCCAAAAGCTACATTCAAGTCCCCAGGATCAGAAATAAGTTTGTCATTTTGGAAACTAAAACTATGTTGACTTTAGTTTGGTTCGCGCAGGTGGCTCACGCCTGTAATTACAGCACTTTGGGAGGCCAAGGCGAGGGGATCACGAGGTCAGCAGATCAAGATCATCCTGGCCAACATGGTGAAATCCTGTCTCTACTAAAATACAAAAAAATTAGACAGGAGTGGTGGCGGGTGCCTGTAGTCCCAGCTACTCGAGAGGCTGAGGCAGTGGAATCGCTTGAACCCAGGAGGCGGAGGTTGCAGTGAGTCAAGATCGTGCCACTGCACTCCAGCCTGGCGTCAGAGGAAGACTCCGTCTCAAAAAATAAATAAATAAAATAAAATAAAATAAAATAAATTTAAAAAAAGCAAAAGAAACATGTATACATGTATACCTTATTTCTATTCAGCATTAGTTTATTGATGTCAAGTTACAAAGTATGTTATATTGACTGAGATCAGTGAGCTTAATTTCAGAGGTTTGGGCACTGAGATTGCGCTCTTCTTAGATTGTTAATTACTGTGGGTTATCAATGTATATTTTATAAAGTGAGATTTTTAAAACCTTATTGATAAATTATATCTAATCCTGTTTTTCAAGTATTTTAAGTATCTAAAGACTACAATGGTCAGGAATTATCATAAGCAATGGTGACAGAAACATAATAATATGATTCAGTATAATAGATACCTCACATTAATAAAGAAAATAAACAATGCTTCAGTTAGCAAATGTATGCTACAAATAATATAAAATTATGTTATAACCGTGTTAAAAAATAAATCTATATCTTTACATGGTTGAGAAGTCCAGAAGTAGTTTTGGCTTCAAAGAAGGCCCAATATATTGACCCAAACAGAATGACAACCGCAGTATTCTTAATTTCTCACTTCAGAATCTGAGATTTTTTTCGGGGAGGGGAGGAGAGAGGAGAGAGAGGCTCAGAAGGCAACACAGTGAGCAGTTATGTAGTTAACATATATTCCATATGTAGTTGCGGACAATAAATAAATACTCATAAGATGCATTAATTCTCCTTAGGAGTTAGGAGGATCAAGGGTAGCAAAAGGGAAAATTGCTTGTATTGAGTAATTGCATCAACCAAAGAGCTGTGGAATCACAAAATATGTGTGCCATACACTTACGTATATACTTATTCAATTCTATGTATGCTGTGTGTGTATGTGTAGAGCTGTTAAAGAGCAGAAAGCCTTAAAATTATTTTAAAACATATACATATGTGAAAATTCTATATTGACAATACTTAAGAGTAAGACTCCATCCTACCACTCTCTAGCTGTGAATCTTGAAAGAGTTTCTTAAACTTTGTGTGCCTCAATTTCTGGAAGAACTCACTCACAGAGTTGTGAGGACAAAAATAATTCATATTTCTAACGTGCTACTCACTGGCAAAATAAAAAGTCATGGGACTGCGTAGTATCAACAAATCAGTGACTTTTTAATGACATATTGTCAAACTTTTTTTTTGCGTCCGAGGAATATGATTGTATGTTGAAAAGTAAACCAGGAATTGCAATTTCAATATCGAGGTACAAATAGAATTATCTCTTTTATTTTCATTTTGTCCTTTCAATATCATTATTTAATCCTCCATGAATTGAAAAGTAATATAATATTTCAAAGAAAAATAAGTCATGTCTCAATATGTATAGATTTATTTTAAATGTTAATTTGACCATTTGGAAGGTCAAAATTGTATTTTTCATTTATTGATATTGCATACTAACATCTTAGAAAAAACCAGTTCAATTAAGCAAAAGCGTTTGACATTTTAAAATGTTAAATTTGTGCTTTATTGTCCAATATAATGAATAGATTGCCAAAATACTCTGTCAATTTTGAATTATTTTAAGAGAAAGAGCACAGCATGAATGACAATATTTTTCTTGAAATTTATAAAGCTCGAGGCAATTAAACAAAGCCATTTTATCACAGCTAAGAATGAGATAACCCCATACTTCTGAGAAGTAGAGATATATTGGTCCTGAAGGAAAGTTTAGTTGTTTTTAGATGGTAGGAGTTGAATATAAATGGAGTCTGGTGATTAATTATAATTCAAATTTCCTGTTTTCAAATGTATCATATATTTGCAAAGAAAAAAAACCACAGCATTTTATAGAGATTAAATGTATTATATTCTAGACTGTGACCAGCCCTTTTATCTACACCTGAACTATCAAAAACTAACATAAACAACATATCTTTAGATTATATGTTTAGAGAGAAAAACATGAAGTGAAATTCACTATGTTGGTATTTCAGAGTAGGTTTTGGTCTCACATTCACAATCTAGAATCTGTTCCAAACCCAGCAAGCTTTCCTTGTTCAAGTACTCTCTATGTGCAAACATCATATGTCTGAAAAAGGAGGACAAAAGAGAAATATTTAATAGGTTACACAAAGGAAAAAAATGAACAGACAAAAGATATACCTAACAAACACCATCAGTTATTTCCTTCTGGCCTCAAAATAGCATATTATGTGCTACTCTCTTACCCACGTGTTCACCTTGATGATGCTTGATGCACAATATAAATGCTTACATTTACAATGCTTTTCATTTCTACTTTTCTGTTGGTGAGCACTAAAAGAAATCCTCCAGGAACACTATTTTCTCATTAAGTACAAGTCAGTGGCAACTATTGGCTGGGGAAGCAAGGGGAGCTCAGAGTGACACTCTATGAAGGAAAGGTGGTGGGTAGGTCCTGCTTCCTTCTGAAGAGGGAGGAAACACTGAAAGACAGTCTTTAGGCACCGTAGGCCTAAGAAGTGGCAGTCTACTCTGAGGGAGGGAGGGAAGACAAAGGGCCAGGGAGGACCACTGAAACAAACCCTCCAAGTTCTGCTCATGGTAAGCTTTGATTACCCAAGTGTATTATTATGAAGTTACTGAAGCAAGCAGAAAAGTTGCAATATTTGTACAGTGAACACCAGTACACTCACCACTTAGATTCTACCAATAACATACAACTTATCATGTATCACTCTATCTATCCATCTTATATTTTTGTAAGGCAGTTAGAGACATGAATACACTTCTCTCCAATAATTCAGCATACATAGTACTAATTAGGATTCAACTTTTTTTTTAGTAATTGTTTAATCTGAACATAGAATGAAATGTGAAAATGGTAGGTATACCATTTGCTGTTTGGTAGTCATTTGAATATTTTGAGAGGAACCTGCCATGTCTGTTTACCCCTTTTTAACATATACACAAACACAGATATAGACACAAATGTATCTGAGGTATGATTTACTATATAAAACATACTATCTTAAGTGTATGACTTGATCATTTTGACAAATGAATAACCATTATAATCCAAAACAACTATTAGACAATTCACCATTTCCATCACCCCAGAAAATTATTTTTCTTTTTCACTCAATCCCTTGAATGTCCTCCCCCAGACCAGTAAACTAGTTTTCTCTTTTTTCCAAAAAAAAGTTTCACCTATAATAAAACTTCATATAAATAGAATACATACATTTTTGTGTACAATGCCTTTCATTACATATTTTTTGAGATCTACTCACATTTGTGCATGTACCAGAAATTTGTTTTGTTTTGTTGCTGAATAACATTCCCTTTTATGGAAATATCACCATCGTTATGGGGTATTTGATGGACATCTGGAATATTTCAGATATTTGAATTTTTAGTAAGAATTATTTGAACATTCTTATATAAATTTTTGTGTATGTATGGCATAGTTTTTCATATTTTTATGTAAATAAGAGTGAAATTATCATAAATAATAAAGTAGGCGTATTAGTTCATTTGTGCTGCTATACAAATACATGAAGCTGTGTAATTTATAAAGAAAATGGGTTTATTTGGTGCATAGTTATATAAGGTGTACAAGAAACATATGTTGCTAGCATATGCTTTTGGTGAGGGCCTCACACTGCTTTCACTTATAAAGAAAGTGAAAAGAACCTGGTGTATGCAGAGATCCCAAGATGAAAGAAGCTACAAAGAGTGAGAGGTTACATGCCAGTTTATTTTTAACAACCAGTTCTTGTAGGAACTAATAGAACAAGAACTCACCCGACACCCTCCCCTCAAGGGAGGACATTAATCTGTCCTTCAGGGATCCACTTCTAAGACTTCTCATTAGGTCCTATCTCCAACATTGGGGATAAAATTTCAACATGAGGTTTGAAGGGAACAAACATCCAAATTATGGCAGCAGGTATAATTTTAACTTTCTAATTAATAGCTAACTATTGTGCAAAGTTACTAAACAATTTTACACTCCCATAGTCTATATTATAGTACAGATTTCCTCCACATTCTTGCTAACATTTAGGATTGTCTTACTTTTGCATTTTTGCCATGTCATTGGGTAAGTAATCTTGCTCTATTGTGGCTTTAATACACATTTACTGTGATAATTATGTTATTATCTTTTATATACTTGTTGGCAATATGTATAGATTCTTTTGAAAAATATCTTTCAAGTTTTTGTCCATTTTTAATTGGGTGGTTTATCTTTAAAAATTATACATGCATGCACACACACAGGCAAGTATGTGTGTGTATATATGGGTGTTTGTGTGTCTGTGTGTGTGCATACAATATTCATTTTCAACCTTACAAAATGTTATATGCATGTATTAGGCCATTCTTGCATTGCTGTAAATAAATACCAGAGACTTGGCAATTTATAAGGAAAGAGGTTTAATGGGTTCATGGTTCTGCAGCCTTTATAGAAAGCATGGTGCTGACGTCTGTTCAGGTTATAGGGAGGCCTCAGTTTGCTTATAATCATGGCAGAAGGCAAAGGGGGAACAGGCACATCACTTGGTAAAAGCAAAAACAAGTGAGAGAGAGAAGGGCGGGGGAGGAGCCACACACTTTTAAATGACCAGATCTTTGAGAACTCACTATCACAAAGACACCATCAAGCAATGAGGGATCTGCTCCCATGACCCAAACACCTCCCACCAGGTCCCACCTGCAGTAATGGGGATTACAATTCAACATGAGATTTGGGCAAAGACAAACATTCAAACTCTATCATTCTGGCCAATGATATCTCCCAGATCTCCTGCCCTTGTCAAACTGCAAAACACCATCATGCTTTCCCAACAGTCTCTCAAGATCTCTACTCATTCCAGCATTAACTCAAAATTCCAAAGTCTCATCTGAGACAAGGCAAGTCCCTTCTACCTATGAGCCTGTAACATCAAAAATACGTTATTTATTTCCAAGATACAATGGGGGTACAGGTATTGGGTAAACATTCCCATTATAAAATGGAAAAATCATCCAAAAGAAAGGGGCTATGGGTTCCATGCAAGTTCAAAACCCAGAAGGGCAGTCATTAAATCTTAAAGCTCCAAAATAATCTCTTTTGACTCCATGTTCATATTCAGGGCACTCTGGTGCTAGGGGTGGGCTCCCAAGGCCTTGGGCAATTCTATCCTTGTGACTTCACAGGGTATAGCCCCTGTAGCTTCTCTCACAGGTGGCTGAGTGCCTTCAGCTTTTCCAGATGCAAGATGCTGGCTGCCAGTGGCTCTATATTTTTCAGATCCAGATGACAGTGGCCCCCTTCTCACAGCTCCACTAGGAAGTGCCCTGATAGGGATCGTGTGTGGGAGCTTCAACCCCACATTTCCCCTTGTCACTACCCTAGTAGAGCTTCTCTCTGGGGTCTCTGTCCTTGTAGCTAGCTTGTGCATGGACACCCAGGTCTTCTTATATATATCCTCTGAAATCTAGGTGAAGGCTGCCCAGAATCCACCACTCTTGCACTCTGTGCACCTGCAGGCTTAATGCCACGTTGAAGCCACCAAGGCATAAGGCTTGCATTCTCCAAAGTGGCAGCTTGACTTGTACCTGGGCCCCTTTGAAGCCTGGCTGGAGTTGGAGCTACAGCAGCTGGGATGGGGGAGCAGTGTTGCAAGGTTGCCAGGGCAGCATAGCACTGAACCTGACTTACAAACCCATTCTTTCCACCTTGGCTTCTGAGCTTGTGATAGGAAGGGCTGCTGTGAAGGTCTCTGCAATGCTTTTGAGGCCTTTTCCCCATTGTCTTGTATATTAGCACTTGGCTCTCTTTTAGTTGTACAAATAGTCTCTAGCAAGTGGTTGCTCCATAGCCTGCTTGAATTCTTCTTGCAAAAAAGATTTTTTTTTTCTTCTGCTACATGGCTAGGCTATGAATATTCCAAACTTTTATACTCTTTATATGTTAAGTATAAATTTTAATTTTAAGTTGTTTCTTTGCTCCAGCATCTGGATTTAGGTTGTTAGAAGCAGCCATGACACATCTTGAACACTAACACTTTGCTGCTTAGAAGTTTCTGGCCAGGTGCAGTGGCTCATGCCTGTAATCCCAGTACTTTGGGAGGCTGAGATGGGCGGATCACGAGATCAGGAGATTGAGACCATCCTGGCTAACACAGTGAAACCCTGTCTCTACTAAAAATACAAAAAAATTAGCTGGGCATGGTGGCAGGCCCTGTAGTCCCACTTACTTGGGAGGCTGAGGCAGGAGAATGGCATGAACTCGGGAGGCGGAGCTTGCAGTGAGCCGAGATCACACCATTGCACTCTAGCCTGGGCAACAGAGCGAGACTCCATCTCAAAAAAAAAATTAAAATTTAAATTTAAAATAATAAAAGAAATTTATTTCACCAGATACCCTAGGCCAGCACTCCCAAGTTCAAACTGTCACAGATCTCTAGGGCATTGACACAATACAGCCACATTTTTTACTAAGGCATAATACGTGTGATGTTGGCTCCAGTTCCCAAAAAGTTCCTCATTTCCATGTGAGACCTCATCAACTGGGACTTTACTGTCCATATCATAATTAACATTTTGGTTACAACCATTTAACTTTCCCTCATCTTCCTATCTTCTTCTGAGTTCTCAAAACTCTTTCAACCCGTTCCAAAGTTGCTTCCACATTGTCAAATACCATTATTGCAATGCCCCAATCCTTGATAAGATTTTCTGTATTAGGACATTCCTGCATTGCTATAAAGAAATATCCAAGATTGGGCAATTTAAAAAGAAAAAAAGTTTTAACTGGTTGACAGTTCCACAGACTTTACAGAAAGCATAGTGCTGGCATCTGCTCCTCCTCTAGAGAGGCCTCGGGAAGCTTATAATCATGGCAAAAGGTGAAGAGGGTGCAGGCATGCCATATGGTGAAAACAGGGACAAGTGAGAGAGAGAATGGGAGGGGGTGCCACACACTGTTAAACGACCAGATTTCACAAGAACACTCTATTGCAAAGACAGCACTGAGCCATTAGAGATCCACCCTGATGTGGTTTGGCTCTGTGTCGCCACTCAAATCAAATCTTGTAGCTCCAGTAATTCTCATGTGCTGTGGGAGGGACCCAGTGAGAGATAATTGAATTGTGGGAGCTGGTCTTTCCTGGGCTTTCTCATGATAGTGAGTGAGTCTCACAAGATCTGATAGTTTTAAAAAGAGGAGTTCTGCTGCACAAGCTCTCTCTTTGCCTGCTGCCATTGATGTAACATGTGACTTTCTACTCGTCTTCTGCCATGATTTTGAGACCACCCCAGCCGTATGGAATGATAGCCCATTAAACCTTTTTTCCTGTATAAATTACCCAGTCTCAGGTATGTCTTTATTAGCAGTGTGAAAACAAACTAATACAGGAAATTGGTACCAGTAGAATGGAGCATTGCTGAAAAGATACCCAAAAATGTGGAAGCAACTTTGGAATTGGATAACAGGCAGAGGTTTGAACAGTTCGGAGGGCTCAGAAGAAGACAGGAAAATGTGGGAAAGTTTGGAACTCCCTAGAGTTCCAATTTTGGAACAATTGAGAAACTGCTGTTGAAGGGTTTTGGCCAAAATGTTGACAATGATATGAACAATGAAATCCAGGCTGAGGTGGTCTCAGATGGAGATAAGGGACTTGTTGGAAACTGGAGCAAAGGTGACTCTTGTTATGTTTTAGCAAAAAGACTGATGGCATTTTGCCCCTGCCCTAGAGATCTGTGGAACTTTGAACTTGAGAGAGATGATGTAGGGTATTTGGTGAAAGGAATTTCTAAGCAGCAAAGCATTCAAACGGTGACTTGGGTGCTGTTAAAGGCATTGAGTTTTATAAGGGAAGCAGAGTGTAAAAGTTTGGAAAATTTGCAGCCTGACAATATGGTAGAAAAAAAAATTCCCATTTTCTGAGGAGAAATTCAAGTCAACTGCAGAAATTTGCATAAGTAAGGAGGAGCTGAATTTTGATTCCCAAGACAATGGGGAAAATATCTCCAGGGAATGTCAGAGGACTTCACAGCAGCCCCTACCCAGAACCATAGGCCCAGGGCCTAGGAGGTAAAAGTGGTTTTGTGGGCAGAATTGAGGTTTGGGAATCTCCACCTAGGCTTCAGAGCATGTATGGAAATGCCTGGATGTCCAGGCAGAAGTTTGCTGCAGGAGTCAGGCACTCATGAGGAACCTCTGCTAGGGCAATGCAGAAGGGAAATGTGAGGTTGGAGCCCCCACACAGAGTCCCCACTGGGGCACTGCCTAGTGGAGCTGTGAGAAGAGGGCCATGGTCCTTCAGACACCAGAATGGTAGATCCACTGACAGCTTGCACCGTGCACCTGGAAAAGCTGCAGATACTCAACCCTAGCTTGTGAAAGCAGCCAGTGTGGGGGAAGGCTGTATTTTGCAAAGCCACAGGGGCAAAGATGCTCAAGACCATGGAACCCACCTCTTGCATCAGTGTAACCTGGATGCCACACATGGAGTCAAAGGAGATCATTTTGGAGCTTTAAGATTTTACTGTACCTCTGGGTATTGGATTTTTATGGAGCCTGTAGCCCCTTTGTTTTGGCCAATTTCTCCCATTTGGAATGGCTGTATTTACCCAATGCTTATGCCTCCATTGTATCTAGGAAGTAACTAACTTGCTTTTGATTTTACAGGCTCACAGGTGTAAGAAACTTGCCTTGTCTCAGATGAGACATTGGATTGCGGACTTTTGAGTTAATGCTGAAATGACTTAAGACTTTGGGGAACTGTTGGGAAGGCACGATTGGTTTTGATGTGTGAAGACCTGAGATTTAGAAGGGGCTAGGGGTGGAATGATGTAGTTTGGCTCTGTTTCTCTCCACAAATCTCATCTTGTAGCTCCCATAATTCCCAAGTGTTGTGGGAAGGATCCAGGGGGAGATAATTGAATCATGGGGGCGGGTCTTTCCTATGCTGTTTTCATGGTAGTGAATAAACCTCATGAGAGCTGATGTTTTTAAAAAGAGGAATTCCCCCTCACAAGCTTTCTCTTTGCCTGACATCCATGTAAGATGTGACTTTCTCCTCCTTGCCTTCTGTCTTGATTGTGAGGCCTCCCCAGCCATGTGGAACCGTAAGTCCATTAAACCTCTTTCTTTGGTAAATTGCCCAGTCTGGGGTTTGTCTTTATCAGCAGTATGAAAACAAACTAGACCCGGTGGTGTGGTGGCTCGCGCCTGTAATCCCAGCACTTTGGGAGGCTGAGGTGAGCGGATCACAAGATCAGGAGATCGAGACCACAGTGAAACCCTGTCTCTACTAAAAATACAAAAAATTAGCCTGGCGTGGTGGCGGGCGCCTGTAGTCCCAGCTGCTTGGGAGGCTGAGGCAGGAGAATGGCGTGAACCTGGGAGGTGGAGCTTGCAGTGAGCCAAGATCACACCACTGCTCTCCAGCCTGGGCGACAAAGCAAGACTCCGTCTCAAAAAAAAAAAAAAAAAAAGAAAACAAACTAATACACACACCCTGTTACCCAAACACCTCCCACCAGACCCCACCTCCAGGACTGGGGATTACAATTCAACATGAGATTTGGTAAGGGACAAATATCCAATCTATATCAATACATATGCCAGATAGATAGATAGATAGATAGATAGATAGAGAGATAGATACACACACATACACACACCCACATATATATAAATGTGATTTTTGTAAAGCTTTATAAATTAATTTTTTACTTAAAACATATATTAAAGAGTGTTTCATACCAGGGTACATTTTTTTTAAACTGGCAGTGGAGAATAGCCTCTTTATTAACTCATGATTAACCTAACCACTCTTCTTTTAATGAAGATTTTGGTTTCCAAGATTTTGCTGTTACCAAGAAAGCAATGAATATCTCTGAAAAACATACTTAATCTATTCCCTTTATTTCAAAGACTTTGTATCCACTTATTTTTGACAGATATTAGCATATTATTTTGTGTTCTTGCTAATAAGTCCATAATTTACAAGGACTGGTGATTACTCATTCTTTCCATGTTTACCCACAAGACATTTCCACAGCGACATGACCATTGGTTTTCTAATGTTTTCCACCAGCCGTCTCTGCTCATTCAGATCACACCCAGAACACATCTGAAGTGGGCTGTTGTTTCATCATGTTTCCAAGCATTAAAAACTTCGAGGTGCCCAAAAGAGCAGATCTCCTTGTAGTCTTTAGTTGCACTGGTGTCATAACATGGTTCAAATAACTGTAGGAATAATTTTCTACTCAGGCTTCTTAACTAGCTTTATGGTTCTTTTCTCAGAAGCACATTTTTGCTTAACTCTACATTCCCTGATTGATCTTATCTCTGACCTCATGCAAAAATATCTTCCAAGGTCTATACACCTTGACATCAACTATGTAAATTTGATACCTAGGGTTCATTGTTTTCAGTGTAGTGTTTTGAAACATTTCTAGATCTTCATTTTCTATTTTAGAAATGCCCCATAAGCTGTGGAGCTTTAAAAGTTATTTTTCTGCTGTATAGAATTGGTTTACAATAGAAAATGTATGGAAATATTGTAAGGAGTGTATTGTATATCAAAGTCAGACATCCACATATAAGCAGTGGGCAAGGCTGTCTGATTTCAAATTCATTTTCATGCATAAATCTGTGATGGGTGATTTTTAACATTCACATCTGGCTTCTAAGACCTGTGTGTGAGTGGGTGAGATCAAACGTAGGTAAGGAGCAGTTTCTATTTTACTTGGAAATGTCTTCTTTATTGACACATGTACTTTGAAGTTTGAGCGGTTACTCCATTTCTTAGGACAAAAGGATGATGAATATCACAAGTGGTTTAAGATAGAAACAGTCCTGTAGTATTTTCATTAACCTAGTTTTCTTTGCTTTTTCCATACCTATGAAAGCTAGTTATTCCAAAGTCAGGAAAAAGAATTTAACTGATATTAAAACTCTTACACTTTAGCTTAAAAGTTTAGAGAATTAAAGGTGATGTAGTTCATCAGTAGGTTTTAAATTATTATAACTATTCTCGTTAAAAGATGTAATATAATCTATAAAATGAAAAAAACAAATAAGGTTTTAAAAATATGTTGGATATGCAAAGCCCTGAATATTTTGAAAGTATTGCATTAAGGCTAGTAATAAACAAATATGTGAGATTTTAAAATGCATATGGGATAATAAAAAATATTGACTATTTTTAAAATCAGAGATATCAAATATAGTTCTATAGATGTAGTTTTTCAAGATAAGATGCGAAATATATACTTATATGAATAGCTAACCAACAAAAATATACATGAAATTAAAATGTGAAATCAGTTCAAGCAGGTGAGATCATAGTTTACCCTGTTACTTATGACTTCAGTTAAATTATATGGGGTTTTACCACTTTGCATAGAGACAGGTGATATAAATGTAAACAGATGTGCAGAAGTGAAGCCATTACATTTTTGACATATTAAGATGCAAGTGTCTAAGAGTCATGAGTGTGGGTATTAATAGTAGTTGGGATCTCAGAAGAAATCAAACCTCCAAATTTTAAATATGGAGAACCAGAAGTGTCTCAGTAGGGAACCTGGGATACGTAATGCTTAGATGTTGGAGGCTGAACCAAAATCCAAATGACAAGAAGTTGGGAATTCAAAAGTGAAAGTGATCATTATTTTCACTTGCATCAGAGAAGTCTAGAAGATCAGTGTATTCATGGAGACATTATGTTTCCATTCAAAAGTGATACATTCTTTTAGAAAGAGCAGTTTCAATGGAACAGAGAGCTCAGAGCTACATGTATTGCAATTGGTTATAAAATAGGAGTTGAGGAAATGACTGCTAGGCATAAAATCTACTCTCAATTTTTCTTCCTTTGATCTCCTATCAGATCAGTTATTTTGTAATAAGTAAATAACTATATAGATAAAGTTGATTGATGAAAATTAAAACTAATAATAATAAATAATTATGCTAACTTTTATAATGAGGACACAATGAGCTCAAAGAGAGACAGTTCTTTACTATAAGTACTTATGGGCATGTAGGAGAAGGCACTGAGTAGTCAATGAATTGTACATGTGTGACAGAATTACATTGTTTGACTCCTTTTTATGGCAGTGTAACAGGGGCTTGCAAATTGACATACCGTGGATTAAATTCTATCTACACAGTCTTGATAGAAACAATAAATTTGAATGTCATTTAAAAAGTATCATTTCTCTGGTTCACCACAGGCCATACAGCTCTCTATTATGTTACAGCTAGTTCATTCATATATTTATTTTTACTGCTTGATCCCTGTAGGTACCAGTAGGTATTTGAGTCTGAGATGGTGGAATAAGGCAGAAACACACATGATACATTCACCTTCATCTAATACCAAATATTGCTATGGCTATCCTGGGATTTTCCCTCTAGAACCCTGCTTTATTATATGTGACTCAACTTTCTCAAGTTCTCTGTAACTGAGATCACTAATCAATCCACCTGAAAACTCATACTCACTGAGCTACCAAATCAATATGAACATTATGTATACTACATCATGAAATAACCAGAGACCTTATTATGATGCCATCACCTTAGACTCAGAAACCAGAGTCTCATCAATGACACATTAAGAGTAATCTGTGCCTAAAAAGAAACCTCCTCCGCTGCTCACATTGAAAGGATCCAAAAGTAGTTCACATTCCTAACTGTGATCAGCCATTATATATTATTTTTCTGTAACTATAAAATTAATATGTTCGTGTTAACTCTTGGAAGTAGTAAAACTAGAAAGATTCCAATTATCACTCATATTATCTCATCATCTAGAGCTGATTCCAATAGGATCTGATAAAATTAAGTTGAAATCTATTATACCAGAATGCTAGGAATATTTCTGAAGTGAATGTGTATACATAAAAGTGTCACCTGTTTAGCAAAATTATAGGAAGAAAGGAGCAGTATGCCTCCATTTCAGGGCAATGAGAACAGCTTACTCGGACTCTTGCATGTGTGGCATGTAAAGCACGTGCAATACCTATTCAACAGAAACAAGGATCCTTCCTAATAGTAATGGCTCATTATAATTTCAAAAGTCACATTAAATTAGGTATGCAGTAGAGAATTGAGATTCACATGTTGTAGCTAGTTATCCAGTCAAGATACAGAACATTTTCAACACCTCCCAAAATTCCTGATGTCCTCTGTAGCGCATCCCTCCCTCTCTCCAATTCTTGACCTAGGAACCACTGATGTCACAATAAATTGGCTTCCACTTATATTACTTTATATTTTTTGAAACAGAAAGTACTTTATTTTTCTGACTATTTCATTAAGTGTAATAATTTTGAGATTCATTCATGTTGCCATATGCATGAGTAGTTCATTCTTTTTTATTGGCAATCTTTCATTAGATGTTTATACCTTATTTTGTTTAATCTTTTGATTCTTGAGCATACTTGCAATAGTTAATTTTATGCATCAATCTGAGTGGGTTAAGGGATGCTCAGATGCCTGGTAAAGCATTATTTTTAGGTGTGTCCATCAGGGTGTTTCCAGAAGAGATTAGCATGTGTATCAATAGAACGAGTAAAGGAGATCTGTTGTCACCAATATGGGTGGTCATCATCTAGACTTTTGGGGCCTCTAATAGAACAAAAAGGTGAAGGAAAGGCAAGTTCTCTCACTCTTCTTGAGCTGGGAAATCCACCTTCTCCTACACAAAGACATAGGAGCTCCTGGGTCTCAGGTGTTTGGACTTTGGGACTTATACCAGTGCCCACTAGTGAATTCAGGGAATAAAAAAGAGCATAACTAGGAAATACTTGTAAAAAACTAGTTATTTGAAAAATCAAACATAGTGACATATACTAGATAATTAATCCAGAACAAAGAACACAAAATTGCACAAAATAGGAATGAATTTTACACACCTCTTTGTAAATACATTTGTAAAGCTCAAGTAAGAGAATTGTATGTTTTAACAAATTTTAAAATTTCAAAACACTAAGCTAACTTTAGAAGAGAAATAACTTAAGCCAACTATACATAATACATTAAATAGAGAACACAATGAAAAATCTCCCACAAATATTACTTTCATCAAGGTTGTCTCACATGGAAATTCTATTAAATCTTTTAAAATATGATAATCCCAGTGCTATTAACTATTTCCAGGCATAGAAAAAGAATGATAACTTATAAAATCATTTTATAAAGGACATGAAATATCGATCCCCAAAAACTGTTTTGTCACAAACAACACAATATTATATAACTTGGACTATTGTTTGTAATATCGTTTAATTGATGTATTAGTCCATTCTCACACTGCTATAAAGATT